>NW_018654711.1:0-175849 GCF_000001405.40 Homo sapiens
CAGTTATCCCTTCCCAGACTTCTGAACTGCAGAAACTATGATATACTAAATGGCTATTGGTTTAAGCCACTAACTCTGTGCTCATTTGTTACACAGCAATACAGAACTAAGACAGTATTTCTTGTACCAACCTCATCTACTTTTCTAAATCAATTATGGTAATACTTTACAAGTAAATACTTCTATAACACAGCCAGAGGCCAATAGTTCCCCAGGAAATGATTATTGGTTAAAGGCTGGGTATACAATGTAAGTTAACCTGGTAATACTGAACAAATAGCTTTTATTCTGTATTTGAAGGAGACATACATATAATATATAAATGAAGAAACCTGTTGCCTTAGATACTGCTATTCTGAGACCAAGAAGGAAGCTACCCTGTAGGTAAGCTGACAAGCAAAGAGAGAGTGTAGCTTAGAGAATGATAGAAAAATGACCACAGGTTTCTGATTCTACTATGCATGCAGTCCGTCCATGTTATCTGTTTACTTTCTAATTATGTGAAATAATGAATTAGTTTTCACTGATCAAGGCTAATTGAGCCAGATTTTTGTTAGATAGAAATAAAAGCATCACCTGTGTGACAACATACGGATGGCCAATCACAAAGAAGTTACAGAGAGAAGCTACTTCATTTGAGTTATAAATCTGTTTACATGGGAAATACAGTGTAATAACAAGGTTTAAAATTACCCATAAGTCATACAACTTTATTTATACAAAAAGCGTAATTTCTGATAAGTGCTAGCTTTGCTGACTACTCAAGAACACAATAAAATGAAATTCTATTCTTCATTTAACATTAACAAACAATGAAATAGTTAACTGTGATTTTGATATAACAGAAACCTTGGGAAAAAGTGAATGTTATCCTAGAATTTATTATACTTAAACAAAGGAGCACTTTTAAATGTACTATAGGTTTAATAAATCAAAAACTAACCTAAATAAAAAAAGAATCTTAATGGGAATATGGTTCAAGAATGGGTTACTAACATAAAGAATTAATTTCTGACTACAAAACCCACAAATGATTCTAATAAAAAATTGAAAGGATTCACAAAACATATTGTAATCTTATTGAGGAGTTCCTTATTGAGTTCAGATATGCCAGAGGGCTTATTTTTAAAAATGTCTCCATTCATTCAGTACGTGTAATTGTCTGAGATTTAGAGATATTGTGATCCCCTTATTGAAATCCAGGCTAACCACTTCGGAATTCTAGAATGAAAACCTGATGAAATAGGGGTTTTTATGTGTTTTGATTACTGCTGTACACATGGTAACATTCAATAAATATTTGTTGAAAGTATTTAGTTTCTGTTCAAGTCAGTAGATTAGCAGATTGTGTTTTTATATTTGCTTTTTACTTTCCCAAGTACACAGGTTAAAAAACAACACACAGAAATACAAAAAAGCAGCCGCTTATAAAAGAAGTGATTGGAGGGGGTTCCAAGAAAGAAAGAAATCAGTGAAAACGAGCAGCTACTCAGAATACAGTGCAGGGGCTGCAAAATAATTCTTTCCTCCAGGTGAATTTGATAAAACATCTGATGAGATCAAAGAATTCTACCTTGATTTTGACAAACAAGAAAAACACTCCTGTTATACTGGCATTCAGTGGGTGTTATATAAATGAGCCAAAGATGGCCTCTGTATATTGCCTCCTAGGTTGTCTACTTCTTCAAAACATGCTGCGGCCAGTTAGCTCAAAAGCCGTCTTGTCAGGAATGCAAGTTTTTACACACTCATTTGTTTCAAATGTAGTCTTAAATAAGCATATGTTTAGCCACTTAGAGCCTGCCTGCCTTGCATAACCCTCAAAACTGCCCAGGATGTACTAGCCATAAGTAAGATTAATCTCAGGGCTTTAAATACACCAGGCCACTGACCCAGATACTCCCTACCATGCTGCTGAGTCACGTCACCTAAACTTGTAAGCCCTCTCTCTGACTCCTCATACCCTCTCCATCTTCCTTGGCTTCCTCCCCTTCTGAATGACCAACCTTTCACCATAGCCTCTGGACAAGCTCATGCTGTGAGGGACTAACCCTGCATGCAAAACTGTCAAAAGGTGACCCCAGTAAGTCTTTTGTGTGATGCTGTCACCTTGCGGTCATGTCTTTGTCCTTGATTAGCCCCCAACTCAATTCCCAAATTAATCAATTTCTCAAATTCCTTTCAAAGGATGTGAGGATGAGGAAGGTCCAGACTGATAGTTGACTGCCAGTAGGCTGCATCTTAAAACACAGTCTGTCAATTTGTAAGCCTCACCTCTGTGTAGAGTGTTTCTTGCAGAGTTATTATCCAGGGAAACATCTTTTAAGAAACAGATGCAAAGAGTAGGAGAAATCCAAGCCTGGGAGGTCAAGGCTGCTGTGAGGCATAATCAGGCCACTTCACTCCTGCTTGAGCAACAGAGTGAGACTGTGACTCAAAATAAACAAAAAAAAAAGTAGGAAAAAGCCACATAGCTATTTAGTCTTTTTCATTTTAATTGTAATTTAAGAAATGCATACACAGAACATTTGGAACACAACAAAACGATCAGAATTTGAATAACATAACACTGTTTAAGGTATCAGCACTCTGATTTCCTTCAGGTAAACTATTACTTCCCGAATTTCAGTACATGTGGTTTTGGTGTCACTTTTCCTCAATCTATTATTTCAGTAGTGCATGTGTCCTCTGCCCATTTAATCAAGATAATTCAACTTCCTGGCTTCCGTGATTGACTGTAAACATGAAGACACTAGTCACCATGTAGCCAACTCGAGAAGAAAGCCTAGTTAAGATAAAATCAGACAAAGAAAAGTGGAAAGATGGTGGAGGTGAAAAAAAGAGAAAGAAAAAACTAGTGACATCAGCTGAACTTCTGGACCTATTTATGTTTAAGATATGAACAAAATTATGCATAATGAAAGCTCTATTTTGAACTTTCATAAAATATAATTACAATTTCCTGAAACCATTTTAACTGGGGTTCCTATACTTGCAACATAAAAAGTAGTGGATAAAAACCACAGCTATTGGTACTAGTTAATGTACTAGAAAAAACAAATTAGGAAAATATATACTATTTAAAATTCCTCATAAGGCTAAGTTGGAATGAAAGAATAAGATCTCCATTCATATTATAGAATAAGTTTCTGGCTGTCCATGAGACTCTGTGATAAAACTGTAGATGAATTATTCCTCATGATTACCTAGAGCAATGTATTCATTGAGGATGTGGCAGTAAGACATCTTTCTTCTCTAAGTAACAAAACTTCCAACTCCAACTACCCCAATAATTTGTATTTTGGAGTGGGGTGAGGGATTGTAACTGTAAAGACCAAAAGTAGCAGAAAAATCATATGTGTGGTTTGCTTGGCCTCCAGCTGCCATTTATCTGAATTTTCTGATTTTTTTTCTTCTTAGTCCTACCCTATATGCAGCCTTTTTTCTTACTGTGGCTTTTCTCACTGCTAAAAAAAAAAAAAAAAAAAAAAAAAAAAACCAAGAATGGAGCAGTTCTAACCTTCATATGAGTATATGAGTATATCATTTTTAAAGTGTTCTAGAGTCAATCTTCAAATTCAGCCTAAATGGACAAACTAGGTTACATATCCACTCATGATTTTTGCTAGGGGGATAAAATGTACTGATTACCTAAAGAAAGTCATGGCCTTTCTCTAGAGCTGCAATGAAGGAAACCTCTATGTAATACAGGGACATAAAAGGAAATTAAATTGTTGGTACATTTAGGACAGGACAAAAGAGGGGAATGAATGCTAGAAAACCAAACAGCAACTGTCTATTAGTTAGGATGAAATTCTGGGAAACCAGATTACCCCTACTATAAAGAAATTAAAATTACTATGTCATAGGTCAGATGGACACTTCAAATGGTATTTGATAAATGAGTCAAAATAAAGGGCAAATCAAATTCCTAAATGTTCTCCTAAGGAATGAAACAACCTTCAAAGATTTCTCATGACCTAGTTGAAAAAATAAGATATTGCTGGCAACAGAAATCACTGAAGACCAAATTCAGATATTGTCTCTGCAGCTTGCAGAATTACAATACCAGTTGATTTACAGCTTGACCATATATTTTATGTGAATGTTAGGGCATTGATCATAAAAGATTAGACTCTTACTAATTGCTAAGAAGATACTACAGATTAATTAAAAGACATGAAACAGATCAACCTCCAAAATTCCAATGAAACATGACTTACTGTACATCTCGTTTAGAAATTCAGTATCATCCATGCCTGAAGAAGCTGTCCTTAGATATAAAAAGAAAACTAAAGTTCATCTTGTCCAGTGGTTGGATACTGAATGACAAGTAAAAGGAATATAAATTCAACATGGCTTGGGTGGAGTAAGAGATTATGGTAAAATTTATAATTAGAGCAAGAAATAAAGTGTTATACACAAAAAGAATCAAGGGAATTTGCCATTAAAATATATGTATCAAATTTGTAGAAATGAATATGAAAGATGCTTAACAAAGTTGAGTAAGGCATAATTTTAAAGCATCCTGAATTCATTGATATATAGAGCTGTGATTCAATAGGCTAATTTAGGATAAGTATTCAAACTGTTTGATGGGCCCATTGCTGACCCACTGGGAAGATGAAACTCTTAAATTAGAGTCCGTGAGCTACACAAGGTTATATAGTTGCCAATAGTCTGCCAAGATGGTTCAGAGCCTGTGAAGAAGCAACAAGTTTGGCAACCAGTTAGTAAATAGTACTGTAGGCATTTGGGGTAACGAAGGTTGAGGTTGGATATCTCAGAATGGGCAGAGAGCATGAGAAAATTGTATTCCACATTCCACATGAACCTCAAAAGGAGCTTATTGCAGAAGTGTGGAGTTTAGATGAATTGTGCTGCAGATATCAGTCAGACTTTTACCTTAGGTACCCTGAACTTCTTTCCTCCATGGTCTCATAAACATAATGGCCATGATACCAGGAATAAAGACTATCCAAGAGTTTAACCAATATAATCTAACCAAGTAGGTTCTAGCTATTGCACTGATGATTACTGAATTTTTCCAAGAATACTCACAACCTCTGAGCATATTTACGTGGAAGCATTATTCTGACAGGAGCAGGTTGATTATTTTGGATCTGCAAAGTGACAATGACTGATGGAAAATAATTGATTTGGCAAAAACTACTTGTATGTACAATATAAGTAATGCATATAATAATTTACCTGCATGAAGATTCCTGACAGAGTGTAAGTGCATCACTTACCATTGCAAGAGGGTGATTTCATGACCCTGCAGTCCCCAAAATTACCCTGCTGCTCCTGATATTACTTGTCACCTCTTCAGAAAAATTATCTTTGAAATTTGTACCTGTCTTCTAACTGCTTGATGACTGTAGCTATATATTTGGCACACAATAACTGCTAAAAAATAAATAATTATTTTTCTAAAAACAGAAAAAAAAAAAAAAACATGATCTACATTCAATCTTCCAAAATCAGTTGACCAACTGTACCATTCACATGGCAGTTCCCAGCCATCCTTATGTACTTTTCTGGAGAGATGTTGCCAGTGTTCCATTCATATTTCTCCAACTTTCCAGTATGCTCTGACAGAGGTCCAACTGGTAGTATATACATCTTTGTTACTGAGTGTTTCCACCACCACCACCCCAGCCGCCACTCCCAACTGGGTTGCTTGGCCTGCATGTGCATGCCAGAAGTACTGAAGAAATGAATACCCCATTGAAATTCTTAGCTAACAATTCTTAGGATTTCGTATATGAATGCCCCACTTATTTCACTTTTCTGGTGGAATAATTTTGAGACATTCTTGTTGCAATTTCCCCAAGTGTCCCTGTGGGATGAAGTCCAGTTGCTCGTGGTTGCCCTGTTTTGTATGCATCACTTTCCTAGTTCCACATTTGTGTGCCCTGCCTTTTCAAATACACGACGTGCTTTGAATCCTTGTTTTGAGATCTGCTTCTGAAAAAGCCCGATCTTTTTCCTTCATGAAGGAGATGGAGATGTATGATCATTGAAAGTGATAATTTATCTGCATTCAGATTTTATTTCCCTCCCTCTCTGCTAACACTATCCATATACGAACTGAATGCTATATACACTGCCATAATAACTCACACACCATGACTTCCAATACAACTTTTACTGCTCAGAAAAAGAAAGAAGGCTGTGGATTGATGTCAATTGGATTCACTAGTCGTATCATGCTGTCCATCAACCAGAGCCCCTGACATTATTGAATAGTGGCATCACCCAACCACCAGATGGGATACAACACTTACAAGGTAAATGAATGTGTACAGTGAAAAAGGGACCAATACATACTTGGATTTATAGATTTTATTTCTGTGCCTTATTTTCTCATCTCTAAAGTAGGAATAATAATAGCCCTATCTCACAGGGTAAAGACTAAATGAGATAATACATATGGAATAAGTTTCTGTAATAGGACTGTACTATCTCTGGCAAGGTTTAGCTCAAAACATAAAGCCAGAAACAATGAATACTAATCATATCCACACTTTAAAGCAAAATGCCAAAGCATCTATATAAAATATGATATAAATAAACTAAGAAAATTATTTTTCTGCCCATAGCTCACATTTTAAAGTATATGAGAAGAGGCTTAAAGATCGAACAGAATAAGATTAAAGCATAAAGATTTCTTCAGGAAGTTATGTAGATATTTTTTCTGCGAACTTCGGAGAACTTCTACATATAAGGTTGCTTCAAGAAAACTACTAAAATAGCTTAACATGTGGGATGCAAGGACGGATACTTGACTCACTCATGCCTAAAAAGGCTAACCATGAGAAAGAGGCTTGAGGTGCCTATCCAGGGACAGAAAAGGAGGCAGGCTGCATGGACATAGCACACCATGAGCACAAGTAGGGCAAAGGTTGATGTTTCCCCATAGATGGTGTGGACTTTGCAGATGGGTGTCAGTCCTAGGTTATCTTGAAAGACACTTCCTGTAAGACCAAAGTGGCCACAATAGAATGCTTAAACTATGGCTCGAAAAACAAGTCAGTTAGTAAATAACCAAGGGATGCAAGTTGCCTCATCAAGAAACTAGAAATGAAAATCCTCAATAATTAGGTTTTCTGAAAAGCCTTCAGTAGAATTAATATTTAGACAGCTGACACACAAATGGGCACTGATATCATACGTTATGTCAAGTAAGCATTTTTTTCTATTTCCTTTTCTCCCCGTCTGTTTTCTTGAAGGGATTCTTCTGTTGCTTCCCCACACTGTTGTCTGTGACTGCTGAACCTGACTGAAGAAGCTGACATGGAAGTCATCCTCAACCCTTCCACTTCAAGTTTCTGAGACTGAATCAGAACTGGGCTTTGGGAGGAAAACTTCTTAATCAAGTAAGAAATTGCTTTGAACTTGAGTAAGCTTTTTAAAACCTAAAATTTACCAGAGAAACAGTGAGATCCACAAGGGTTGTATATAGGGGCAAGGAAGGATAATTTGAAGCACTTCTTTATGACTTTGTTCCTTAAAGTATGGTTGACACAGCAATAGCAGCAGCACCCCAGAACTTCTTAGGACTAGAGAATCTTGGGTACTTTCTGGGTCTCCTGGATCAGAATATAAATTTCAACAACTTCCCCAGGCGGTGTACATTAAAGTGCCCTGGTTTATATAACAGTAGTAAGAAAGAGTAGGATTAATTATTTTCATGCAAACTTTTGATTCCAGGTCATTCAATAGCCTAATGATATGTGCAAAGTATTTAGAAGAATTTTTACTGTTATAGAACTGAATAAGAAGTCTTAAGATACCATTGGAATTAATTGGTGAGGCAGCTTCTTTTTTTTTCTTTTTAATGACAAGACAGACTCCCTGTAAAGACCAAAAATTTAAAAAATGTAAAACATGTCTGCTTAGTGGGGAATCAACTCTAACAAGAAAGATACTCCATGTAAATAGCTTTTAAGGGCTTCCTGCAAAGTTATGAATTCTCTCTCTGGGTCTGTTTCTCTCTATAAACATATACATGCACACATATATACATATGTACACATACATGCATATATAGATATATATATATACACACATATGCCTCTATATGTATACACACACACTTTTATTTTGTGTAAGGATATATGTCTATATGAAGTTAATATATTTATATTATATAAACTGTTATTATTACTAATCTCTATTAAATTATTATGCATCTAGATATGTCTCCTCTGACAAATCTAGATACCTAAAGTCAAACTATATTATTTGAATGAATGATTCAATGGTCATATATCATTTTCTTTTCTCTATGTAGCTAAAAAGTAAAAGGGTTTTATAAATTTTATAAGTAAATGTTTTATAAGTAAAATGATATTTTAAAGGAGTATAATAGAAAAAAATTATCTTTGGGGAAGAAAAGGGAAACATAATTGAAGGGGCATGGGGAGGTGTCTCCTCAGTCAAAAGACTGTAAGAAACTAAGATAGGCAGCTTTTGGCTGATGCGGAGCTGTGGGCGGTAGACAGTCCTTGCCTGATTAAAGCAGATAATTTAGTGGCTTGGGATTTTGAGCTTTGACATTTCAGTGCCAATCATAACCAGGGAGTAGTACCCCAACAGCTGGGATCCTTCTAATACCTTCAGGGAACAAACTTTCTTTTTTTTTCCTGCAAGAACTTAATCCCTACTCAACTACTTTCTGGGCCAAAAGTCTCTCTAAGGCTTTACAGAAAAACTCATACTTAAGAAAAAATAAAAATAAAAAAGGCATTTAACCATCTTACTCATCTACTTCTTTCAATTCCCTGTGACCTTTAAAAAGTCGGTTGCACATTCAGTTATTTTATAAGTCACAGTAGGTTCAAATTAATCTCAGGGATAGGCTATTTTATAACTAGTTAAAGAAATAGCAGAGAATTTAAAAAACCCTTGTCACTATCTCTGCCATAACAAAAATGTTATTTTTCGGAGCTTATTATATTTACTACATTTTATATTTTCACCTTATAATTTATAGACATAGTAAAAAACAAAAAAATCTACTTTTCAAATGTGGAAATATAAGCTAAGTATAAATTAATAAAAATTAACATACAAAGGATATTTGCTGGCTGTAATTTCATTTAAACAAAATAGTATCAAGCACCTTTTATATACCCAGTAAAGTGACTATTACGAACTTATTGCATCACAGATAATGAATAATCACCAGAAAGTAAAATGTGCTGCCAGTTTAAGTTCCTTCTCAATTACCACTTGAACATTTATCTTACAGTGTCTTAACACTCAAACATACTTACCTATACAACCACCTCCCAAAGATCTATCAGGTTTATTTTATTTTATTTTATTTTAATAAATAATAGGAGGTCTGGGCATGGTGGCTTACACCGGTATTCCCAGCACTTTGGGAGGCTGAGGCGGTAGATAACTTGAGGTCAGAAATTCAAAACTAGCCTGGCCAACATGGTGAAACCCCTTCTCTACTAAAAATACAAAAAGTAGCCAGGCGTGGTGGCACATGCTTGTAATCTCAGCTACTTGGGAGGTGGAGGCAGGAGGACCGCTAGAACCAAAGAGGGAGAGGTTGTGGTGAGCTGAGATTGCACCACTGCACTCCAGCCTGGGCAACAGAGACTCCACCTAAAAAAAAAAAAAAAAAAAAAAAAAAATACCAAATATTCAATCAAGTCATATAAAATTAATCTTTTTTCCCACAAAATATTTTCAACTTTATTTATTGTCTGTGTCTGAAGAAGAATTGAGCTTGACATAAGGTACTGACACAACCCAAATCTAACAGTCAGATAAGCACATTTCTTTTATATACTTTAAGTTCTAGGGTATATGTGCACAACGTGCAGGTTTGTTACATATGTATACATGTGCCATGTTGGTGTGCTGCACCCATTAACTCGTCATTTACATTAGGTATATCTCCTAATGCTATCCCTCCCACCTCCCCTGACCCCACAACAGGCCCCCTGGTGTGTCACGTTCCCCTTCCTGTGTCCAAGTGTTCTCATTGTTCAATTCCCACCTATGAGTGAGAACGTGCAGTGTTTGGTTTTTTGTCCTTGCAATAGTTTGCTGAGAATGATGGTTTCCAGATTCATCCATGTCCCCACAAAGGACATGAACTCATCCTTTTTTATGGCTGCATAGTATTCCATTGTGTATATGTGCCACTTTTTCTTAATCCACTCTATCATTGATGGACATTTGGGTTGGTCCCAAGTCTTTGCTATTGTGAATAGTGCCACAATAAACATACGTGTGCATATGTCTTTATAGCAGCATGATTTATAATCCTTTGGGTATATACCCAGTAATGGGATGGCTGGGTCAAATGGTATTTCTAGTTCTAGATCCTTGAGGAATCACCACACTGTCTTCCACAATGGTTGAACTAGTTGACAGTCCCACCAACAGTGTAAAGTGTCCCTATTTCTCCACATCCTCTCCAGCACCTGTTGTTTCCTGACTTTTTAATGATCACCATTCTAACTGGTATGAGATTGTATCTCATGTGGTTTTGATTTGCATTTCTCTGATGGCCAGTGATGATGAGCATTTTTTAATGTGTCTGTTGGCTGCATAAATGTCTTCTTTTGAGAAGTGTCTGTTCATATCCTTTGCCCATGTTTTGATGGGGTTGTTTGTTTTTTTCTTGTAAATTTGTTTGAGTTCATTGTAGATTCTGGATATTAGCCCTTTGTCAGATGAATAGATTGCAAAAATTTTCTCCCATTCTGTAGGTTGCCTGTTCACTCTGATGGTAGTTTCTTTTGCTGTGCAGAAGCTCTTTAGTTTACTTAGATCCCATTTGTCAATTTTGGCTTTTGTTGCCATTACTTTTGGTGTTTTAGACATGAAGTCTTTACCCATGCCTATGTCCTGAATGGTATTGCCTAGGTTTTCTTCTAGGGTTTTTATGGTTTTAGGTCTAACATTTAAGTCTTTAATCCATCTTAAATTAATTTTTGTATAAGGTGTAAGGAAGGGATCCAGTTTCAGCTTTCTACATATGGCTAGCCAGTTTTCCTAGCACTATTTATTAAATAGGGAATCCTTTCCCCATTTCTTGTTTTTGTCAGGTTTGTCAAACATTAGATGGTTGTAGATGTGTGGTATTATTTCTGAGGGTTCGGTTCTGTTCCATTGGTCTATAATTCTGTTTTGGTAACAGTACCATATTGTTTTGGTTACTGTAGCCTTGTAGTATAGTTTGAAGTCAGGTAGCATGATGCCTCCAGCTTTGTTCTTTTGGCTTAGGATTGACTTGGCAATGTGGGGCCTTTTTTGGTTCCATATGAACTTTAAAGTAGGTTTTTCCAATTCTATGAAGAAAGTCATTGGTAGCTTGATGGGGATGGCATTGAATCTATAAATTACCTTGGACAGTATGGCCACTTTCACGATATTGGTTCTTCCTATCCATGAGCATGGAATGTTCTTCCAATTGTCTGTGTCCTCTTTTATTTCGTTGAGCAGTGCTTTGTAGTTCTCCTTGAAGAGGTCCTTCACATCCCTTGTAAGTTGGATTCTTAGGTATTTTATTCTCTTTGAAGGAATTGTGAATGGGAGTTCACTCATGATTTGGCTTTCTGTTTGTCTGTTATTGGTGTATAAGAATGCTTCTGATTTTTGCACATTGATTTTGTATCCTGAGACTTTGCTGAAGTTGCCTATCAGCTTAAAGAGATTTTGGGCTGAGACGATGGGGTTTTCTAAATATAAAATCATGTCATCTGAAAACAGGGACAGTTTGACTTCTTCTTTTCCAAATTGAATACCCTTTTTTTCTTTCTCCTTCCTGATTGCCCTGGCCAGAACTTCCAACATTATGTTGAATTGGAGTGGTGAGAGAAGGCATCCCTGTCTTGTGCCAGTTTTAAAAGGTAATGCTTCCAGTTTTTGCCCATTCAGTATGATATTGGCTGTGGGTTTGTCATAAATAGCTCTTATTATTTTGAGATACGTCCCATCAATATCTAATTTATTGATAATTTTTAGTATGAAGGGCTGTTGAATTTTGTCAAAGGCCTTTTCTGCATCTATTGAGATAATCATGTGGTTTTTTTCTTTGGTTCTGTTTATATGCTGGATTGTGTTTATTGATCTGCATATGTTGAACCAGCCTTGCATCCCAGGGATAAAGCCCACTTGATCATGGTGGATAAGTTTTTGATGTGCTGCTGGATTTGGTTTGCCAGTATTTTATTGAGGATTTTTGCATCGATGTTCATCAGGGATATTGGTCTAAAATTCCCTTTTTTTGTTGTGTGTCTGCCAGGCTTTGGTATCAGGATGATACTGCCCTCATAAAACGAGTTAGGGAGGATTCCCTCTTTTTCTATTGATTGGAATAGTTTCAGAAGGAATGGTACCAGCTCCTCCTTGTACCTCTGGTAGAATTCGGCTGTGAATCCATCTGGTCCTGGACTTTTTTTGGTTGTTAGGCTATTAATTATTGCCTCAATTTCAGAGCCTGTTATTGCTCTATTCAGGGATACAACTTCTTCCTGGTTTATTCTTCGGAGGGTGTATATGTCCAGGAATTTATCCATTTCCTGTAGATTTTCTAGTTTATTTGTGTAGAGGTGTTTATAGTATTCTCTAATGGTAGTTTGTATTTCTGTGGGATCGGTGGTGATATCCTTTTTATCATTTTTTATTGCATCTACTTGATTCTTGTCTCTTTTCTTCTTTATTAGTCTTGCTAGTGGTCTATCAATTTTGTTGATCTTTTCAAAAAACCAGTTCCTGGATTCGTTGATTTTTTGAAGGTTTTTTTGTGTCTCTATTTCCTTCAGTTCTGCTCTGATCTTAGTTATGTCTTGCCTTCTGCTAGCTCTTGAATGTGTTTGCTCTTGTTTCTCTAGTTCTTTTAATTGTGATGTTAGGGTGTCAATTTTAGATCTTTCCTGCCTCCTCTTGTGGGCATTTAGTGCTATAAATTTCTCTCTGCACACTGCTTTGAATGTGTCCCAGAGATTCTGGTATGTTGTGTCTTTGTTCTCATTGGTTTCAAAGAACATCTTTATTTCTGCCTTCATTTTGTTATGTACCCAGTAGTCATTCAGGAGCAGGTTGTTCAGTTTCCATGTAGTTGAGCGGTTTTGAGTGAGTATCTTAATCCTGAGTTCTAGTTTGATTGCACTGTGGTCTGAGAGACAAGTTTGTTATCATTTCTGTTCTTTTACATTTGCTGACGATTGCTTTACTTCCAACAATGTGGTCAATTTATGTGGTCAATTTTGGAATAAGTGCGATGTGCTGAGAATAATGTATATTCTGTTGATTTGGAGTGGACAGTTCTGTAGGTGTCTATTAGGTCTGCTTGGTGCAGAACTGAGTTCAATTCCTGGATATCCTTTTTAACTTTCTCTCTTGTTGATTTTTCTAATGTTGACAGTGGTGTGTTAAAGTCTCCCATTATTATTGTGTGGGAGTCTAAGTCTCTTTGTAGGTCTCTAAGGACTTTATGAATCTGGGTCCTCCTGTATTGAGTGCATATATATTTAGGATAGTTAGCTCTTCTTGTTTCATTGACCCCTTTACCATTATGTAATGGCCTTCTTTGTCTCTTTTGATCTTTGTTGGTTTAAAGTCTGTTTTACCAGAGACTAGGATTGCAACCCCAGCCTTTTTTTGTTTTCCATTTGCTTGGTAGATCTTCCTCCATCCCTTTATTTTGAGTCTATGTGTGTCTCTGCACGTGAGATGGGTCTCCTGAACACAGCACACTGGTGGGTCTTGACTCTTTATCCAATTTGCCAGTCTATGTCTTTTAATTGGAGCATTTAGCCCATTTACATTTAAGGTTAATATTGTTATGTGTGAATTTGATCCTGTCATTATGAGGTTAGCTGGTTATTTTGCTCGTTAGTTGATGCAGTCTCTTCCTAGCCTCAATGGTCTTTACAATTTGGCATGTTTTTGCAGTGGCTGGTACCGGTTGTTCCTTTCCATGTTTAGTGCTTTCTTCAGGAGCTCTTTTAGGGCAGGCCTGGTGGTGACAAAATCTCTCAGCATTTGCTTGTCTGTAAAGTATTTTATTTCTCCTTCACTTATGAAGCTTAGTTTGGCTGGATATGAAATTGTGGGTTGAAATTCTTTTCTTTAAGAATGTTGAATATTGGCCCCCACTCTCTTCTGGCTTGTAGAGTTTTTGCCGACAGATCAGCTCTTAGTCTGATGGGCTTCCCTTTGTGGGTAACCCGACTTTTCTCTCTGGCTGCCCTTAACATTTTTTCCTCCATTTCAACTTTGGTGAATCTGACAATTATGTGTCTTGGAGTTGCTCTTCTCAAGGAGTATCTTTGTGATGTTCTCTGTAATTCCTGAATTGAATGTTGGCCTGCCTTGCTAGGTTTGGGAAGTTCTCCTGGATAGTTTCCTGCACAGTGTTTTCCAACTTGATTCCATTCTCCCCGTCACTTTCAGGTACACCAATCAGATGTAGATTTGGTCTTTTCACATAGTCCCATATTTCTTGGAGGCTTTGATCATTTCTTTTTACTCTTTTTTCTCTACACCTCTGTTCTCGCTTCATTTCATTCATTTGATCTTCAATCACTGATACCCTTTCTTCCAGTTGATCAAATGGGCTACTGAAGCTTGTGCATTTGTCGCATAGTTCTCGTGTCATGGTTTTCAGCTCCAGCAGATCATTTAAGGACTTCTCTACACAGGTTATTCTAGTTAGCCATTCATCTAATCTTTTTTCAGGGTTTTTATCTTCTTTGCGATGAGTTCGAACTTCCTCCTTTAGCTCAGAGAAGTTTGATCATCTGAAGCCTTCTTCTCTCAACTCGTCAAA
The DNA here is from genome assembly GCF_000001405.40 of Homo sapiens. NCBI lineage: Eukaryota > Metazoa > Chordata > Mammalia > Primates > Hominidae > Homo > Homo sapiens. Next base: position 14,810 of record NW_018654711.1, read on the forward strand.
GTCATTCTCCATCCAGCTATGTTCCATTGCTGGCAAGGAGTTGCATTCCTTTGGAGGGGGAGAGGCATTCTGATTTTTAGAATTATCAGCTTTTCTGTTCTGTTTTTTCCCCATCTTTGTGGTTTTATCTACCATTGGTCTTTGATGATGGTGATGTACAGATGGGATTTTGGTGTGGATGTCCTTTCTGTTTTTTAGTTTTCCTTCTAACAGTCAGTACCCTCGGCTGCAGGTCTGTTGAGTTTTTTGAAGGTCCCCTCCAGACCCTGTTTGCCTAGGTATCAGCAGTGGAGGCTGCAGAACAGCGGATATTGGTGAGCAGCAAATGTTGCTGCCTGATCGTTTCTCTGGAAGCTTCGTCTCAGAGGGGTACCCGGCCGTGTGGGGTGTCAGTCTGCTCCTACTGGGGGATGCCTCCCAGTTAGGCTACTCTGGGGTCAGGGACCCACTTGAGGAGGCAGTCTGTCCATTCTCAGATCTCAAACTCCATGCAGGGAGAACCACTACTCTCTTCAAAGCTGTCAGACAGAGACATTTAAGTCTGCAGGGGTTTCTGCTGCCTTTTGTTCGGCTATGCCCTGCTCCCAGAGGTGGAGTCTACACAGGCAGGCCTCCTTGAGCTGCGGTGGGCTCCACCAAGTTCGAGCTTCCTGGCTGCTTTGTTTACCCTCTCAAGCCTCAGCAATGTCAGGAACCCCTCCCCCAGCCTCGCTGCCACCTTGCAGTTCCATCTCAGACTGCTGTGCTAGCAATGAGTGAGGCTCTGTGGGTGTGGGAACCTCTGAGCAAGGCGCGGGATATCATCGCCTGGTGTGCCATTTGCTAAGACCATTGGAAAAGCATAGTATTAGGGTGGGAGTCACCTGATTTTGCAGGTGCCGTCTGTCACAGCTTCTCTTGGCTAGGAAAGGGAATTCCCTTACCCCTTGCATTTCCCAGGTGAGGCGATGCCCCGCCCTACCTCGGCTCATGATCCGTGGGCTGCGCCCACTGTCCTGCACTGACTGTCTGACAAGCCCCAGTGAGATGGTTCTGGTACCTCAGTTGGAAATGCAGAAATCACCTGTCTTCTGCGTCACTCATGCTGGGAGCTGTAGACTGGAGCTGTTCCTATTCAGCCATCAGATAAATACATTTTTAGATTAAATGAAATATAATGCCATGCCATGCATAGGTTTACTTAGATAAACGATCCAGTGACTCTTTATCTGTTCACAGTTGTTTCAAAACGTTTTTTAGAACCATTTTGTTTTGTCAATTAAAAAAAAAAGATTAAAGTAATTAATGATATTCTTCAAACAGCTGCTCAGTCCACACTGATGGAACAAAACTCCAAACTACACACCTTCATCTTTAATATAGCCTTTGATAAACCACGCTTTTTTTTTTTTGAAAATACATGATGCTTCCTGATTCACATTTTGAATTCCTAAGTAGGCTGGGAGAGGGGGAAGGAAAGAGCTCCCACTTCATATAGTCAGAGTGCACTAGGTGGTAAATTAGTAGATGTCTCACCTCCTAATCTTAATGAGGTGGACAAACATACCTAGAATATCCTTGACAAAAATAAATGGATCCCTATACCAATACAAATAGAAAAAAATAACTGGAAATAAAGGAAACATTCCTTACTACAGCTCATTTCTTTTGGGAATTTTTAATAACTGTTCAGTTAGCTATAGGCAACTAAAAGTGGCCAGTGATATACAGGAGAAATTTTCAAGTAATGTATGCTATAATGTGTGCTATAATGTTGTTTATTAAAAGTTTCTTATCTCATTATATTAATTTAAAAGACTTTAAACATGCTCTCAAGAAGTTGTACAAATATAATACCCACAAAAGAGTAAACAAAAACTCCAAAGAAATGGAAATTTATCCATTTTTTAAAATGCTGAATTTGAGTTGGTCAAAGGTAGCAATTGATGAGTACAGTGGTTTCTGTGTACAATAATAAATAGAGAGAGAAAGATATTTATTGTAAGGTGTTGGCTCACACAGTTACAAAGGCTGAGAAGTCCCATAATCTGCCATCTATACCAGAAAAGCCTATGGTATATTTAAAAGACTTGAGAGCCAGCAAGCTGATGGTGTAGATTTCAGTCTGATTCTGAAACCTAGAATCAGGAGCACTTAGGACAGGATATTGATCCCAGCTCAAGCAGTTAGGCAGAGAAAATTCAACCTTTTTGATTTACTTGGATCCTCATATAGATTGGGTTGTGCCCATTTATACTGGGGAGGACCACCTGCCTCACTCAGTACCAATTCAAATGCTAGTTTCCTCTGAAAATAGCCTCACAGACAACCAAGAAATAATGTCCAACCAGATATCTGGGAATCCCATGGCCCAGTCAAGTTGACACATAAAATCAGTCATCACAATTTTAAAAATGCAATTTATTTTGCATATTGATTTTGTGTGCTACTCTCTTGCTGAACTTATTTATTTATTTATTTATTTATTTATTTATTTATTTTTCTTTGAGATGGAGTCTCGCTCTGTTGCCCAGGCTAGAGTGCAGCAGCACCATCTTGGCTCACCACAACCTCTGCCTCCTGGGTTCAATTGATTCTCCTGCCTCAGCCTCCCCAGTAGCTGGGATTACAGGCACCCGCCACCATGCCCAGCTAATTTTTGCATTTTTAGTAGAGACAGGGTTTCAACACGTTGGCCAGGGTGGTCTTGAACACCTACCTCTGGTGATCCGGCTGCCTCGGCCTCTCAAAGTGCTGGGATTATAGGTGTGAGACACCGTGCCTGGCCTTATTTATTAATTCTAATAACTTTTAGTGAATTTCCTTGGTTTCTCTATATAAAATACCACATTATCTGCAAATAGTGATAGTTCTACTTCTTCCTTTCTAATCCAAATGCATTTTTTCATTACCTAATTGCCCTTCCCCTGGTTAGAACCTCCAGTACTGTTAAATGTTAACTAGTGAGAACAAAAATCCTTATCCTGCTCCCGCTCTTATAAAAAAAAAAAAAGACATCCAGCCTTCATCATTAAGTATGATGTTAGCTACAGATTTTTTGTATCTGCCTTTTTCCATGTTGAGAAAAGTCTCTTCTATGCTAAGTTTTTTCATGAAAGAGTATTTGATTTTATCAAGTACTTTTTCTACATTTGTTGAGAAAATCTTGTGGGTATTTTTTTTGTTTTTTAATCTGTTGATATGATATGTTACATTACTCGATTGCTAGATAAGCCAACCTTGCATTTCTCAGATAAATCCAACTTAGTCATTGTGAAAGGAAAACAAATCTCAAGACCCTAAAATCACTAAGCCAAAGGGACCTGCATCAGGCAAATCTGCCTCCCATTTTATTTCTAAATGAGACAGCTATAAAAATTAAAAAGCTACCATACCTCCTTCACAATTTGTGAAGAAGGAAATTCTTTGGGGGCCTCAAAAATCTTTGCCCTAAAACAGATCTGTTGAATTTCACCTTGGCAATGTAATTTGATAGATTATCTTCACAGGTGCAGGACAAAGGACAGAACTCAAAGTCATCCCTCTGCTCACCCAGACAAATAATATATGCCTGTTTGCTTCCTCTGTCCTCTTGTTTATTTAAGAATGCAGATTCACTAAGCCAGACTAAGGCATAAGTGACTATTCCTCTATCTTCCTCATATGTAAATTGTGTTTTCAGTGAAAGGGTAATCAGAAACTCAAAAGAATGCAACAATTTGTCTCTTATCTACCTATGAACTGGAAGTCCTACCCCTACCACTCTCCCCAACTTTGAGTCATGTTGTCTCGCCTTTCTGGACAGAACCAATGTACCTCTTACACATATTGATTAATGTCTCTTGTTTCCCTAAAATGTATAAAACCAAGCTGTGAGCCAACTACCGTTGGCACGTGTCCTTAGGACCTCCTGAGGCTGTGTCACAGGTTTGTCCTTAATCTTGGCAAAATAAACTTTCTAAATTGATTGAAATCTGTCTCAGATACTTTTGGATCACATCATGAAGTATAATTATTTCTGTTTGTTGCTGGATTTGATTTGCTATTATTTTGTTGAGGACTTTTGTATCCATATTTATAAGAAATATTGGTCTGAATGTTTTTTCTCTTGCAAAGTCTTTTTATGATTTTGGTATGTCTAGCCTCAAAAAAATGTGGCACATATACACAGTGGAATACTATGCAGCCATAAAAAATGAAGAGTTCATGTCCTTTGTACGGACATGGATGAAACTGGAAACCATCATTCTCAGCAAACTATCACAAGGACAAAAAACCAAACACCACATGTTCTCACTCATAGGTGGGAATTGAACAATGAGAACACATGGACACAGGAAGGGGAACATCACACTCTGGGGACTGTTTTGGGTTGGGGGGAGGGGGGAGGGATAGCATTAGGAGACATACCTAATGCTAAATGACGAGTTAATGGGTGCAGCACACCAACATGGCACATGTATACATATGTAACAAACCTGCACATTGTACACATGTACCCTAAAACTTAAAGTATAATAATAATAAAATAAAATAATAAAAGATTACAACTTTTTCCTCTCGTTCTATTATTTGAAAGATTTTTTGAAGAATTGGTGAATTCAGTCTGCTTAACATAGTTGGAATAATTTCACACTGAAGGATCTAGGCCTGGTCTTTTCTTTGTGGGTAATCCTTTTATTACTGATTCAAACACTTTATTTGTTATAGTTTTATTCATATTGTATTTTCTCAAGTCAGTTTTAGAGTTTGCATGTTCCCAGGAATGTGTGCAATCCATCTAAATTATCTAATTTTTCAACATATGCAATATTCATAATATTCGGATAAGGTCTGTAATAATGTCTCCCCCGCTTTTATTTCTCATGCCAGTACTTTAAGTGCTTTCTCTCATTTTGTTTGTTTGTTTGTTTTAGTCAATCCTGCGAGAAGTTTGTTATTTTAATTGACCATTTAAAAGAAACAACTTTGGTTTCATTGATTTTTTTGTTTGTTTTTCTATTATCTATTTCATTAACTTCTGCTCTAATATTTATTGTTTTCTTTGCTTTCAATTTAGTTTTCTCTTCTTTTTCTTGTGTAGTAAGATAGAAGTTTAGATTATTGATTTGAGATCTTTCTTTTTTCTGCATATAGTTAGTTGTAACTATCAATTTCCCTCTAAGTATTGCTGTAATTGCATTTGATACATTTTGATATGATGTGTCTTCAGTTTTATTTATATCAAAGTATTGTCTAATTTCTCTTTGATTTGGGAAATTTTCAGCCATTACTTTTTCAAATTTTTTTCTCTTCATTTTCTTCTCTTTCTGGTAGTGCTATTATGTGTGTTGTATTAGTCCATTTTCATGCTGCTCATAAAGACATACTCAAGATTAGATAATTTACAAAAGAAAAAGGTTTAACTGTACTCACAGTTCTACATGGCTGGGGAGGCCTCAAAATCACGGCAGAAGGCAAGGAGAAGCAAGTCACATTTTATGTGGATGGTGGCAGGCAAAGAGAATTTTTGCAGGGGAGCTCTTCTTTTTAAAACCACCAGATCTTGAGAGACTCATTCACTATCATGAGAATAGCGTGGGAAAGGCCCACCCCCATAATTCAATTACCTCCCACAGAGTTCCTCCCATGACACATGGGAATTGTGGGAGTTATAATTCAAGATGAGATATGGGTGAGGACACAGCCAAACCCTATTATGCATATTGGAGTATTTAAAGGATTCTCTGAGGCTCTGTTCATTTTCCTCCATTCTTTTTTCTCTCCATTCTTTGGATTACATAATTTCTACTGATTTATCTTCAATTTTGCTAATTCTTTCTTCACCGATTCCAATCATTTCTTCATCAACCCTAGTAAATATTTTATTTTAGTTATACTTTCAACTCCAGATTTTTTTCCAATAATTTTTCTCTATATTTTCTGAGGCAACGTAGTGATTACATCTTCCTTTGCTTCTTTAATCATTATTTCTTTTAGTTTTAGTTATTTGAAAATATTTATAATATCTAGATGTCTCTTCCTGTTAAATCCCACATCTGGTTGCTCTCATCAACAGCTTCTATTTCCTGCTTTTTCTAAGTGTATGATTATATTTTCTGGTTTTATTGCATGTCTCATAATTTTGTGTTGGAAAGTAGGCTTTTTAGATATTATATTGCACCAACACTTGGAATCCCCTCACCCCACTGAGAGGGTTGGCTTGTTATTGCTGCATGTTTGTCTATTTGTTTAGTGACTGGCTGAACTGGTCTATTATCTCTTCCCCCTTACCTCCCACCCCCACCCACCCCACTGCCTACCATGGCTATGTTTAACCTGGGATGATGCTCCTCAGGAAACTGCAGCTTAGTCACCTTGAAATGACCATTTTTTTGGCAGGGCTTTTTTTGCTGCTTTCCCTGACCACAACCAGCTGTGAAGCTCCAATAATTGCTGAGTGACTGTTCTATTGTTTTCAACAATTTTCTAAAGCCTAAATTGCTCTAGATATTAATTCAATCAAATTTACACTCCTTTGAAGGAACAACTCTTTAGGTCCACATTTGATATTCATGCTTTCCCCAGAAGGAATTCTCCCAGTAGGTTTTTCCCACTCTCTCTTGCAAACTGGTTGGGACAAATTTAGACCATACCTTCACCAAATCTGCTAATCACTTTTCAGTTGTACTCAACCTCAATGTCCACTGTTATTAAGCGTACCTATTGGCTTGGCCTTTACATCTTGCTGCAAATGAAGTCAGGACTTTGGGAAGAAATTAGGAGTTATCAGCTTTAGGTCCTGCTTCTTCCCCCAGGCAAAACCTTTGAGTCAGGGCTCTAGATCTGAGGGTGGGGACAATGCCACTCTTCAGTCTAAGTGATACCCATGCTTCAGGAACTGAGCACTCACTAGAGGCAGGCAGAAGCCTGAGGTCTTCTCTTTTTGCTTCTCCTGGCATAGAATCACCACTTTACAAGCAACGAAAAGCATGATCAGCGCCCTGTTGCAGCCGGATGGGTTCTTCTTGCCCACTGCACAGAATTACCCAATACGCAGAGACAGCAGGTGTTTGCAGTAAAGAAAGAGTTTAATAATTACAGATTCAGCTAAATGAGAACATGGGAGATAGTTCTCAATTCTGCCTTCCTAAGAATTCAGAAGTTAAAGTTTTTTTTTTAGGGATATTTTGACAGGCTAGGGAATGGGGAATGCTGACTGGTTGGGTCATAGGCAAAATCATAGGAGTGTCAAACCTGTCTTTGTGCGCTGAATCAGTTTCTGGGTGGGGTTCACAGGACCAGTTGAGTGAGTTCCTTGGTATGGGACACAAGTCTGGTTGGTGTCAGTTGGTTCATCAGAATGCAAGGTCTGAAAAATAACTTGAACATCAGTCTTAGGTGTTGCAATAGTGACCCTATCCATAGGAGTAATTTGGAGAAGTTTTCAATCTTGTAACCCCTAGTTAGGTGACTTTCTGAGCTGTAAGCAATTATGGAAAAGCAAACAAACAATGGCTGGTTATCACTGAACTTCTGCCTAAGTCTTAACAAAATTCAGGCCTTTACCACAATTCTAGCTTTGTAGGCTTTCATTAATGCTATATAGACAGTTTCAGTCCTAAAGCAAGGAAGGGACTAGTACTGAGAATAAACAATCTCATTATTATATTTGTTTTAAAATTAAGCTAGAAACCAAATTCCTCCCATAGTTAGCTTGGTCTACATACAGCAGTGAGCAACGTGGTCAACTTGTGAGTTTTGAAGAACAGTAAAGTGTTATGTTAAATTTCTCTCACTGTTATAATTTTGTCAAAAGCAGTTTCTGCCCCCATATTCTTAGTGATAATGTGCCAAAGACAGAGTGAGAGTTAGTTTTAGCAAAGGAGTCCCCACTTTTCAAGTGCACTTTCCCAAAACTCAGACTGAGCAGGCAGCTGGGGAAGGATGAGAAATTCTGACATCCTGCTCTTCCCAGGGAAAACAACAACAACAACAACAACAACAACAAAACCCTGTGATGGGGAGCAGGGTAGAAAGAAAGCACTGTGATCTCCAATGTAGTGGTTTGGGGTGGCATTATCAGCTGCAGGTGGGGATTGGGAAGAAGTAATTTTGTTTTAAATACCATTGACTCTGACTTTTCTTACCAAATTTTTGTTAATTTTCTTGACTGGATGTTTCTTCATTTATTGTATGCTCTTAAGATCATGTCCATGGCTTTAAATTGTTGTATCTTTTTAAAAAATATTTTTTATCAGTTTCACTAGGGAGAAGGTCCACAGAACGCCTCATATCAACATGCCAGAAGTTGGTCTGTATCTACTGTTTCTTAATATTATACACTTCCAGTCTTCAGCAAGCAGGTTAGTGTAGACATTATTTATTGTATCTAAAAGTCTAATCCTTTTCTCATTACCTTACCTTTGCTTATCCTGTCCTTTTACCCAATGTTTATATTTAGTCTTTTATAATTTTAGCGTCTACCTAGATCTTATCCATCTTTAAAATTGGGCCTCTTCCTCCAGCAAAGCTTCTATTGACAGCTCTAATGCGTGCTGGTTTTGATATTACTTTGTATATAATAATATAATTTTATTATTTAAAGCCCTATATAATTCACTAATTGTTGATATATGTACTTGTTACCTGAATTAAATTATAAGCCCTTTCCAGGTGAGAACATGATTTAAACTTCTCTTGAATTATACTATATGAAAGTATGTGGAAGTGAATGACTTTGTCAGACATCATTGAACTATGTGAATCAAGTCACCATAGCACTTCAGTTTTAGAATGTTAAACACGTGATTAATAACATGGATATTAATATCTACCTCTTTATATATGTGCTTTTATATACATATATGTCCAGATCCAGGAGAAACAAGGAAATATGGTGTTTTCTGGAAAATAGAATATGTCAAGAAGAGATTTGTTGAAAATAAATCAAACGGAGTGATTTAGGTATTTGAATTTTATGGCATGTTTAGGAATTGTATTAAACTTCTGTGGAAAAAAACAAGAAACATATCGATGCAGATAAACAGATATAAAGGTCTAGAAAAAAAATTTATTAAACTTGATTAAGTCATCTTAACAAATGAGGATCAGAGAGATACTTTTTCTCTAATTAGTTTAGTTTAGATATAATAGAAGGATGGAAATTACCTGGGTTTAAATGCATGTTTCTTTAAAAGATATTCTGTACAAATTATAATCAAGATATATATTTCGTGTAGTTTTTTGTTTGTTTGTTTGTTTTGAGATGGAGTCTCCCTCTGTCGCCCAGACAGGAGTGCAGTGGCACGATCTCGGCTCACTGCAGGCTCCACCTCCCGGGTTCACGCCATTCTCCTGCCTCAGCCTCCCAAGTAGCTGGGACTACAGGCGCCCACCACCACTCCCAGCTAATTTTTTATTTTTATTTTTTTTTTAGTAGAGACGGGTTTTCACCGTGTTAGCAGGATAGTCTCAATCTCCTGACCTCGTGATCCACCCCGCTTCGGCCTCCCAAAGTGCTAGGATTACAGGTGTAAGCCACCGCACCCGGCCAAATTTGGGTGTGTATGTGTGAGTGTGTGTCTGTGTGTGCATGTAGATTTATTTTACTTAACAATTCATCATTTTGCTGTTTCTTATAGTCATGGAGGAGAGATTTTCTTTCTAACATAATATAGGACCAGAAGCCATGAAAGTAAGTGTTAAATAAAGTTTATATTTTTTAAATTATATATATATAATTTATATATAATATATAACAATATTATAAATAAATATGATTTATAAACGTTAATGTTTTATATAAAATATATATTATCTATGGAATTTTTATATTATACATTTATTATATATAATATATGTAATGTTCTAAAAATTTATAGCATAAAAATGACTATAGAAGTCAAACATACGTGAAGATTTGCATAAAAAAGTGTTACAAATATGACAATGGAATGGTTTCCTTAATATACAAAGATTGTTTTTAATAAATACATAAGCAAGAAAATTAACCAATAGAGAAATGTCAAGACCATAATGGTAAATTTCATTAGGTTTTCACAATAATTTTTTTTTCTCTCCGCGTTTTTTTCCATGCCTTTATACGCCATTGAACTTGGTCTTGGCTATGTGATCTATTTTTTCAATCTAATTTAAAAGGATATATTGTCACAACTCCAAAGTCCCCATCTGAACAGACACTTTAGATGTTATTGTGTATCTTGACAGGTATCTTCTTGCTCTGCTCCCCAGTCATGAGAACTAGAAATTGTAGATAGTGACTATGCCTGTTACCTGTGTTTCAAAATGAGAAGATTTACAGAGCTAAGCCCAGCAAAGCCAGAGTAGACCATGTATTTATGTAACATGAGCAAGAAACAAATGTGTTTTGTCACAAAATACTGAGATATGGGATTGTTTGTTATCACAGTAAAAGCTGATTTATGTAATTTCAAACTCCAAGTTCAAAGAAAAATAAATACGAATAGCTAGTTAATAGAGGAAAATATGCTCAACTTCACTCACTTTACATAATTCAAATTAAAATACCAATGAGATATATATATTTTGAAACACTAACCAATTAAGCTAGGGTTTATAACCAATGTTGACAAAACTCTAGAAGAATTAAGCATTCACAAACATTTTTGTGGAAGTTTAAATTCGTTCAATCTTTTATTTTAAAAGTGTATACCATAAGAGCTAGCAATTCCATATTTGGGAATTCATCCACCCATAATTTCAAACATATACACGAAGATATATGTGAAGTGCTACTCATTACATAGTTCGTTTAATAAATACAAAAGAAGAATAATGAAAAAGGAAGAGAAGAAGGAAAGTTAAAGGAATAGGAGAATGGTTAAATATATTAGGCATTAACTATACTATGGAAAAAGATATAGCATATAATATGCTGTTAATTTTTAAAATCAAATTGCACAACAGTGTGACAATATAATCTCATTTATTTGTGAAACCTTGATACGTGCAAATAAATTATCTGAAAAGATGCTTAAGAAATTGTTTTAAAGTATTTACATTCAGGGAATGGTCTTATGACGCTGCTAGTGCCATTGTGAAGTAACTTCTACTTATTACCAATTGTTGTTCTAAATGAATATTTATATTATGTATTATTTTCACAATTTAAAACCAAGTTTAAAGGTAAAATGAAATGAAATTAAAATGTGTTTAAAAATAAGTTTGAGCTGAGTTGATAAATTTGGATCTCACATCAGCAGGCTCACTATCCTGTACCCATGAGACTGCCGCCACCTGTGGCAGAAAGCATAAATTGAAGATGAAGGCATTAAAAGGTGAAAAAGCAACAGAAAAAAGGTTCTGTAGCTGAAAATAGGTAATTGCTATTAGAGCAAATCACCTGGAATCATGTGACAACTTTGGTGTTGTTCAAAATAAACATGGAGATTTGTTTGTGGATTCATATAGTATTAGAGAAACAGGTAAAGTAAATATTGTCTCCAAGATCCTGTTTCTCTAAGTTTCAAACACTGTGCGTAAAAGAAAGCAAATTGTAACTCACGACTGGCCTCATTTTCATGGATCTCACTTTTTTCTAGTTCAGAGAGTTTGCTTGTATTATTTATTTAAAATCAAATAAGACAGTGTCAGGAATTTCTTCTCTTTGCTTTTTAGGCTATGATTTTTGCATTCAAATGGCTTTCATTATTGTATAAAACTAGACAAAGTCAGTTAAGAAGAGACATTCAAACAGGTGTTTTCCTATAGGCATATAGAGTCTCCAGATTTTTCCCTTTCATCCCTCATGGCTAGATTCCCCAGGCCCTGCTGAGTCAGGTTCAGTTAGCTTAGAACATTTTCAATTCTGTGTACCCATCACTGATGGAATCATTGAGTAATGAATAAAGGGAACCAAAGGGAGTAGTTTCAGGCTTCAGTTTCTGTCACAGAGAAAAATTAATCACAAATTGTTAGATACAGGAACATCATTTATAAAACTGTGATTTAAAAGGGCACAATCAACTAATTGAAGCCAGAAAAGAAATGCCTAAATAATGTATAAAGTAGATATCTTGGCGGAAACTATATTTTAATCATTTTTAAATAGTTTTTTTTTCCTTCCGTGGCTTAACATATTCCCAAGAAGTAATGACACAGAAAAAATAGGGATCCCTATAAAGCTGATGAGGAAAAATTAAGGCCAAAATCTCAAAAGTACCACAAAAACAGAAACTAACCAACCAAGCACAGTGACAATCATGTGAAACTCGTGTTTATTATATAATTCATATTATAAATGTATGAAAGGAAATATGGCATAATAGATATTTAAACTGGGTACTAGTCTAAGTTATAGCAATCATATTTACACATAGAACCCAGACTGATTCATATGTATCTCCTCTCACAAATAAAGAGGAAAATGGAACCAAAATTTGAATAAAACTTTTGCTAGATTTAGGGCTGTGCTGCTGGGATGTTAATCTTTGACTCCAGGACTTCAACATGAGTACTCTGGGAACATAATATTATATGCCAAGAGTTATACTAGCATTATAAATAAATAGCCCTGTAGCACTCACTCATAAGAAAACAATCTGATGTTTATGTTGACGTTCATACAAGTTATATTAGTTATCTATTAATGTGCAAAACAGTACCCTAGACATTAATACTAAAAACAACACACATTTATTCTCTCACCATTCCTACAGATCAGAAATCGGGGAATTGCCCTGTTGAGTCTTTTACTTCAAGGTTTCTTAAAAGACTGCAATGAATGTGCATGCCTGTGTTGCCAGGGCTGGGGAGTCATCTCAAGGCTTCACTGGGTACAAGTTTTCTTCCATGCTAATTTAGGTGGTTGTTGGTAGTATTCAGTTTTTCAACAGATGTTGAATGGAGAATCTTTTTGCTAATAGCTATTGGCCAAAAGTGGCCCTCAGACAATTATCACATGTGCTTCTCAAATATAGTAACTTGTTTTATCAAAGCCAGCAAGGGACAGTGTTACTAGCAAGGTAGAAGTCACCATCTTTGTAGCAATCATGGAAGTAGTAACTCATCAACTTTGCTATATTATGTTGGTTGGAAGAAAGTCACTATATTCAGGCCCCTCTGAAGGAGAAGGAATTTCAAAATGGTTTGAAAACTAGGAGGTTGAGAATCACTATAGGCCATATTACAAGTCTGTCTGTCACAGATTGTTTCAAACTAAAAGTGATTTTTCTTCTCTGAAGATATATGGCACCCTGCCCGTACATTTCTGGATGCTTTTGACAAATTTGCTGAATAGAAAATCTAATGATGATGTTAGTTTTATTAGAAAAAAAATAATAAACATGAAAAAACAATTTTTTTCTGGTAAAACATAATTTGACTAATCTCATTTTTCTAATTTATTATAATCTCTCTGTTGTCACTAGTTGTGATTAAATGTCCATTAATAAAATAAAATCAGCAATGGCAAAGGATACTATAATACTTACTGAAGCAGCAAAACCATCCTCTCAATAGTTATAGCCGTTTAGAATTTTGTCAAAATAATAAAGCAAACAAAAATCGATTTGGCTTCCCAAATTGTATAGAATTTTATTAATCTCATGTTGCCTAATCTTAACAAGCAAGCTTAACTCTATGTCAAGACTGACCAAAGGAAAAAGAAATTAGAAAATATTTATAACTAAGTGCAGTCTCCATTTTCAATGTTATCATCCACTCCATTCTGTTTCCTCTGCTCACTTTAATTATTCAAAAATCACGACAACTTGAGTTATGAATTAAGAAGCGGAGGCTGACTGAAGTTTGCCCTTCAGAAACCTCATCTTCTTGGCATTCCCTCATCTATGACAACAATAATTAGACACCCAGTTACAACTCTTCAAGACTTCACTGATTTTTATAATATTTTTAACTTCTCATGAAACTTATGAGACCTGAAATTGGAAATGAAGAAGTAGCTAAGAATTTTCCTCCATTAGGATAATGGGACCCAAATAGTTCCCCTGGATGACCACCAAAGAGAACCACTTCATAAAACCAAGGTGAATAACATAACATCACCACCCATGAGGCGGTAAGGAGATACAGAGTTTTGATTTCCTGAGTTATAGGTTGTCTAAGGAAGCACAACTAAGTAGATTCAGAGAAAAAAAGAAAGTCTTATTGACATATGAATTGACATATGAATATATTTTTTGAAACCAACTACAGATAGAAGGGCCATTTAAAATGTCATAATTGAATGGCAAAAAATTAAAGACAAAGGAGGGAAAGCATAAAATTAAATTTAAATGATAAAAATAAATCTAAATATTGTACAGTCATCATCCCCTGGTATCCATGAGTGATTTGTTTCAGGACCTCACTTGGATACCAGAATTTGTTGATGCTCAAGTCCCTGAAATAAAATGGCTTAGCATTTTCATATAACCTATGCACATCCTCCCAAGTATATACTTTAAAGTACCACTATATTACTAATAATTTCTAGTACAATGTAATTGCTATGTAAATAGTTGTTATGCTGTATTGCTTAGGGAAAAATTACAGGAAGAAAAACTTTGTATGCATTCAGTAGAGACACAATTTATTTCCAGTATTTTCAATTCATGTTCAGTTAAATCCATGGATGAGAACCCATGGATACAGAGGGCCAACTGTATACAGTATACAAGAACTGACTTAGTCCATTTTGTGTTGCTATAATAGAGTGCCACAACTGGGTAAAATTATTGTCAAAAAGAAATGTATTTATCAAGTTTTGGACACCAGGAAGTCTAATATCAAGGTGTTAGCATCTGGCAATAGCCTTGTTGCTGTATCATCCCATGGTGGAAGGTAAGAGAACAGGAGGGAAGAGGACCGAATTCATCCTTTTATGAAGAACCCATTTCCATGAAAACTCACCCACTCCCACTTAAAAAAAAAAATGGTGTTAACTCATTTATAAGGGTGGAGCACTCATGACCAAATCACTTCTTAGAGGTCCCACTTATGAACACTGTTAATTTGGGGATTAACTCGCCAACACATAAACTGTAGCAGACACATTAAAAGTATAGCAGAAACTGTACTTTTATATTTTTATATTGTGTATAACTTTTTTACTGTGAAAAGTCAAATATTTCTAATTAGATTTTTAAAATTCATACGCTTCTACCTTCAAATCAAAATCAAAAGTCAAATTGAAAATAATATATAAAAGTGTTGAGAAAATATATCTGTCAACCACTTAACAGTTAATGCTAGTATGGAAATATTCATGCCACATTATAATATTTATTACCTAAAAAGAATGAATATTACACAATTATTACAAATTATTGGTTACCAATTACATAATTGTTACCAATAACAATTATACCAATTACATAATTGTTACCAATAACAATTGGTAATAAGTTGTTTCTATTTATCATTAGAAATAATCTAATTTGTTACTAGGAATAGCTTTATTTACTAAAGATAATGAATATTACATAATTGTTACCAATAACAATTATGGTAAAAACAATTATTGTTAACAATTATGTAATATTCATTATCTTTAGTTAATAAATTGTTACCAATAACAATTGTTATATTCATTATCTTTAGTTAATAAATAAAGCTATTCCTAGTAACAAATTAGATTGTTTCTAATGATAAATAGAAACAACTTATTAGAAGACAATTCACCAATGGTCTCTTGAATTTTTGCACAGCTTACAGAGGTACTGAGAGCATTATTTCTCAACTATCTATCTTTTTAAAGAGGTTTGTATAGAAAACAGGTTTGGAAAACAGAGATACGCTATTTTTCCAGAGCAGAGGTAGGTTTGTTTACTGCTGAGTAGAATAAAAGTTAACAACTCCCTCTACAGAAGAATTTGGATTTATTTGCTTGCAGCACATTATAAAAGACTAGGGTCTCTTAAGTTTGCAATTCTCTTATAACACATTTTAATGCTCACGTAGGCATTATTGGGCCCTTGTAACATCACTGTATGGGAATTTGAGATCTGGGAACAGGCATAAGAATATGAAAATGTTGTGACTGCTGCTATTGTTGTGAATAATAAACTTTCCATTTGCTCTAAACCAGGAGTCTTGTGTCTTCTGGATTTTAACAACTTTTGAGCTTGCATGCAGAGTAAATTTTAGTTGCTTTACAATTCTTGACACAACCAGTCAATAATACATTGCAGTAATAAACATATATGCACTCAATAATATAGCCTCGAAATATATATTGAAAATACTGACAGAATATTAAGAAGCAACAGATAAATTATCAATCATAAAACTTAAATGTACATATCTCAGAAACTGATAGATCAAGCTGTTTAATACTTGCTAATGATTAATCAAAAAAATTCAAAGAAAGCCAAAGCTACTATACATGTTCATGGTTATGTATTCATGTAATCAACAATGTTGAAGTGCATGTGGATATTTACAAATATTTGCCACATACTACATTGCATAGAAAATTTAAAACAAAACTAAATGAATTTAAACCATGCATACTGCACTGAATCTCCATGTAATTAATTTTCCAACAATTAAAAGCTTGTAAAAATGGAATTTTAAAAGAATGACAATTTTTAAATGCTTAGAATTAAGTAATAAGCAAATTCTGCATCAAAGAACTTGTGACACAGTTTAAGTGATACTTAAAAATATATTTGCAGTCTTTCTTTAAAAAATGATTGCTTATTTGGCAACTATTCAAGAGCCTAGATTAATGACATAAAAGTAAGGGAAAGGTACACAAAAAGAAGAGAATACACAAACAGCAAATTTTAATATTCAATAAACAGAAGAATGAAAAAAATAAGCATTTAAATATGATTATTTGAAACTTGTAAGAAAATAAATTTTTAAATGGAATTCAGTATAAACATAGAGAGATTAGTACATCAATATTTTTAAAAGATGTGTAAGTGATGAACACTTTTATATCAATGAATTTGACACTTTTGACAAAACAAAAATTTTTCCAGAATAGTAGTTTTCAAACATTTTGGTTTCAGGAACTCTATGATTTTAAAAATTGAGGACCTCAAAGAGCTTGTATTTATGCAGGCTTATATATCAACATTTATCACTTAAAAATTAAAGCAATGTTAAAATGTGCCTTTATTAATATATTTTAAAATATAACAATAACAAGCTCACTGCATGCTAATATAAATATAAACTACATGAGATAACTATAGCAAAAGAAACAAAAAAGTAGAATAGTGCATGTTTCTTTAAACTTTCGCTTGATACTACATTAAATCTGCTACAATACCACTCTTTCATCTCTGAAATTCTGAAACCTTTCACTATACACTTGTGAAAAAATGAGAGTAAAAACAATAATATTTCAGTATAGTGTAATTACACAACTGTTTTTTACTTCATGAACTCCCTGAAAGTTTCTCCAGGAACCACAGGAGTTTTTAGACCATAATTTGAGACAAGATCTTTTATTAAAAAAATAGAAACAAATTTGAATCAAGAAAAAATAGAAAACATTACTAAATCTGTCACCATTAAAGTACAAAGTCAGCAATTAAAACCTTGGGCCAATCCCACTCACAAAAGGAATGGGAACAGGGAATACACTGCATCTAGACAAATTTTACCAATCTATCTAGAACAGGTAATCCAAAACTTGCAGCAAATAGAAAAAAAAGGAAAGTAAGGACCCTATGTGCTTCATCCTAACTCAGGCAAGTTATTTTTAAAGAAAGCAAATTTCAGCTATCTCACTACTAGACCTGGTAATTCATTGGGGTTGCTGAATACAAGATCATCATATAAAAATGAAAAGCTTTCACATATACCACCGATTTTCTCTATTTCAGTATTGAACAGGAAAAAAGAATACCATTTATAAAGGCAATATAAAATTTAGGCTATCTGGGTAGAAACCTAACAAAGAGTGCCCTTTTATAAAGAAAATTAAAACACATTGTTAAAGGATATAAATATCTGAAAAAAGTACTATGTTCTATTATGGGAGGACTTTATATTTTAAATCACAATCAATTCTTGGCAGATTATTTCACGCATTATTGCATTTACATTCGCCTTTCAACTTTATTTTTATTCAACAAAACTTTTTACAAACTTATTTCTAAAAGCCTGCTGTTCAATGTCAAAATCTACATGCTTTAGATAAAATTCAGAATCTAGGTCCCATTCCAGACCTACTAAATCACCTAGATCACAGGTGCATTTAAAACACTCTCAAAAAAAAAAAGGAGGACCCTTGACCTACCAGATACCAGGACTCACTATTACCAGGATGGCAGTCAAGGTAAAGTGGCCTTGATGTACTACATAGATGAACAATAAACCAAAATTGACTAATTGACCAAAATAGACAATTGGAATAACCCTATTTTACATATAGTCCATTTTCACGCTGCTGATAAATACATACCTGAGACTGGGTAACTTCTAAAGAAAAATAGGTTTCATGGACTCACAGTTCCACGTGGTTGGGAGGCCTCAAGATCATGGTGGAAGGCAAAAGGCCCGTCTTACATGGTGGCAGACAAGACAGAATGAGAGCCAAATGAAAGGGGAAACCCCTTATAAACTCATCAGACCTCGTGAGACTTACTCACTACCACAAGAATGGTATGGGGGAAACTGCAGCCATGATTCAATTATCTCCCACAGAGTCCCTCCCACAACCCATGGGAATTATGGGAGCTACAATTGAAGATGAGGTTTGGGTGGGGACACAGCCAAACCATATCACATAGCATCATGGTATGGCATCATGGTAAAAGATATATGAAGCATTAAAAATCAGTGGTGACAGAGTCATCCCTTCAGTAAATGTTTTTGGATCAATGTATTCTCATTTCATAGATGCATATATTTTTATATATACTATATGGGTCAAATGCCATAAGTAATTATAAGTAATTACATAAATAATAGCAATTGTTTATGAGCTTGGTAGAAGGCAGGAATACTATATGTCTTACTCAGCTCAGGATGCCATAACAAAATACCATCTATTGGGTGGCTTAGACAATAGAAATTTCTTTTTCTCATGGTACTGTAGGCAAGAAGTTCAAGATGAAAGTTTCGGCTGATTCAGTTTTTTGATGAGGGCTGTCTTCCTGGCTTGCACACAGCCACTTCGGCTTCACATGACCTTTCCTCTTAGCCCAAGTAGGAGAAGAAGGGAAGAGAGAAAAAGAGAGAGAGAGAGAGCGAGAGAGAGAAAGGTCTCTTCCTCTTACTATAAGGCCACTGATCCTATCAAATTATGTTCCCACCTGGTTTAGACTGAATTTTTTTTCTTCCCAAAATTCATATGTTGAAGTCCTTACCCCTAAATAACAGTGACTTTTATTTGTAGATAGGGCATTTACAAAAATAGTTAAGATTAAACGAGTCCATAAGAGCTGCACCCTAATCTGACAGAACTAGTGTCCCTATAAGTGACATCAGAGAGCTCGACCTCTCTCTGCCTGTGAACAAGAGGTCATGTGAGGAGCGCACAGTGAGATGTAAGCCACCTACTGTTAAAGGGAAAAAAATTATTCAATGGTACTTGTTAAAACATGGTAAGGAAGACTTCATTAAGGACCATCACAATAGATACAGTGACCACTGCAATGGGGTGTGGGAAAGATTAGGCTCAACGCTGAATATAGTATTGGCAAATGGGAATTTATAGTCGAAGAGCCGTGTGGGTGTCAGTAGATGGGAAATTGCTAAGAGGAAATATCGGGGTGAACTGGATTCTGGCTTAACCAACTAAACAGGATTCTTGCCGAAGACAGGCCAGGGTAATCAGACATCATCTGGGATGATGGTGGAGGATAAGGAACCTAATCAGATACTGAAGATGGGGGATTAGCTAAACTGATTTAGCAGGGTTCTTTGCTAAAACTGAATTGTACAAGGAAGTGCAAAGGTGGACCTAGGAGAAGCTCAGAAGACTAATTAAAATTTGGACAAGCAAAAAGTCTTTATCACCGCAAGCCAAGAGGAGAGGCGTCAGAATATACCCTATCTTGCCATCCGCTTGATCCTGGGCTTTCCAGGTTCCTTCTGGTGGGTTCTTGGTCTCACTGACTTTAAGAAAGAAGCCGCGGACCCTCACGGTGAGTGTTACAGTTCTTAAAGATGGTGTGTCCGGAGATTGTTCGTTCAGATGTGTCCAGAGTTTCTTCCTTCCAGTGGGTTTGTGCTCTCGCTGACTTCAGGAGTGAAGCCGCAGACCTTCACAGTGTTACGGCTCTTAAAGGTGGCGCGTCTGGAGTTGTTTGTTCCTCCCGGTGCGTTTGTGGTTTCGCTGACTTCAGGAGTGAAGCTGCAGACCTTCGTAGTGAGTGTTACAGCTCGTAAAGGGACCCAGAGTGTGCTGTGGCAAGATTTATTATGAAGGGCAAAAGAACAAAGCTTCCACAACAGGGAAGGGGACCCCAGTGGGTTGCTGCTGCTGGCTTGGGTGGCCAGCGTTTATTCCCTTATTTGGCCCCATCCTGCTGATTGGTCCATTTTACAGAGTGCTGATTGGTCCATTTTACAGACTGCTGATTGGTTTGCTTTTACAGAGTGCTGACTGGTGCATTTACAAACCTTTAGCTAGACAGAGAGAGCTGATGGGTGTGTTTACAATCCTTTAGCTAGACAAAAAAGTTCTCCAAGTCGCCACCTGACCCAGAAGCCCAGCCGGCTTCACCTCTCAAGAATGTACCCTATCTTGCCATCCCTTTGATCTTGGGCTTTCCAGCTTCCAGAATTGTGGTAAACTTTTGTTGTTTAAGCCACTAGGTCTGTGGTATTTTGTTATAGCAGCCTGAGCAGATTAAATCACCATTGTTTTCACCTCATTTAATCTTAATTACCTCCCAGAGGTCCTCCTATGTCTTAATATAGTCACATTAAAGGTTAGGGATTTAACATATGAATTTAAAGAGAAAACAATTCAGTCTGTAGCACTCTACAAGACACAAAGCATACAAAGCAAAACCAGAAGACTGGCTAAATATGATGGCATTAAAAATTTTCCATTTGACAAGTATACTGTAAACAAAACTAGAGTACTAGCCATAGACTTGGAGGACATAACTTGATCATTTATAATAAATGAAAAGATACTGAGAAAATATAAGTAACTGCTACAAATCAATAATGAAAGAAATAGCTCAAAAGGAAATATGTGCAAAGGGTATAAACAGGAATTAGTATACAAGGAAGCACAATGGCCAATAAACATATGAAAAGGCTCACAACCTTTTTGCATTTCTGTAGGGAAATGCAAATTTTGAAAAATGAGATTCTTTTCATATTCAGGTGATTAGCAAAGTAAAAATGAATCTGGCCATATTAAGTATTTGTTGGATGTTGGGAAAAGAAAACTCCCATACACCTTTTGTTGAATGGTATATTGGTAAAATCATTCAGGATAAAAGTTTCAATCTTTATAGGATAATTGAACACATGCATAGTCTGTGATAGAACCATTACACTTTTATTATATACCCTACTGAAATTCTCTCACCTATAAAGAAGACATGCAGAGCTATAAGCCCTGACATAATTTTTGGAGCGAAAAATTGAAACTAATCCAAACATCTCCATCAGTAGAGAAATAGATACATAAATTGTGGTCTCTTTATACAATGGAATACTACAGAGCATTTAAAAGAAGCCATGTAGACTCTCTGTAAGCCAACATGAATATGCTTAAATGCAGAATGTTGAATAAAAAAAAAAAGCAAGTCATGGCATCATACCTAGAACAAGATAAATTTTATATAACTTCTGTGATGGGGAAGGCATTAAGGATAATAAAAACCAAGAGTGTGAATTACCTACTCCATTCCTGCTTTCAAGGACAATCTTGAAATTTTATATTTTATTATTTAAGAGAAAAGCTTTCTGGGTAAATACAAAAGGAGTGGTGGAAGTGAGGATAATATATCTACACTAGTCTCAGATTAGCTTTTCTTGGCTGCCTGGAATATAACCACATCACTTATGCATAATAGAGATGTACAGGTAGTCCAGTTGCTGACCTCAAGACTAATGGAATTCAGAGAGCAAAGGCCAATAGGGTGTGCTGACCCCTCTCCCGTTAGTTAGACACATTTAATCACACTGAAGGCACGCTCTGATAGGTATAACCTTTCAGAACTCCCATCCCTAGATATGTCTGTGATGATCTGGTCCTTCCAAATGGACCATCTCATATATTATACTTGACCCTCATGATTTAATGAGGTGTTTCCTGAATATAAAGTACTTTCAGAGAGGTATTAATTCTTCAGAGCCCTAGAAAAGCCTTGAAATGGAGGCTAGGATTGATTGGTTTGTGGTTGGCCAGGTGGTTGAGCAAGAGGGAGAATCCCATGGCGACCAGGTAAATAGACCGGATCTGCTCTCAGCAGCTGCAGCAACTAGGGAAGTGACTATATAACAGGCTCCTCAACCTGCTGCTCTGGCTCCCTGCCAACTCCAGGGAACTAGAACAACTTTCAAGTAATGGAAATCTCCCCAGCTTGTTGGAGGAGCTATTTACATTTTAAACAGCCTACTCTACCCCTCCCCAACCAGTAGCTTTGTAAACAAGTGAGTCTGAAGGAGACCAGTGAGAATAGATGAGTGTTTCCTCTGATAGGTATTGTCTTTATTTCAAGTCTCAAGGCCTCTTCCAGGCCATATTATTACCAATTACTCTTCTAATGCAAATCTTTAATCATAGCCATCTATATAACTAAAACACCTCTGACATGTCCAAATTTAAGCCTAGCATTCTGCATACCACCTGGTCACACAACTCATTTTTAGCCTGCCACTATGTTCCTATCAACCCTGATTCCTCTTACAGCACCAATAATAACATATTATGCAGATGTCTGGAATTCGTTTAAGTTCTAATTGACAGAATACTTGAACTTGCCTGAAAAGATAAACACTAAATAAACGGTATTTATACCTTTATCTGCTGTTGGCATTTCTGTAAATGTTTAGAAGAGAAAAATTTCAATCACTGAATAATTTTTTATGTAAATGATAAAGGCTAGTTTTTTGTTTAATTTCAAATATTAGTTTGAAAAGCTTTCATTAAAAAATTCAAACCTTTATACTAAACCAATTGTATTTATTTTCTTAATAATTGAATATACAATGTTAGTAACAGGGTTTTAAAAATATATATTAAATATTTGAAAATTTAACACAAAAAAGATTGTTGAAATTTATGTTTTATGTTTATAATAATGAATAGTTTTGTATTGGTTTTTGTCACATACATTGCTTATCCATAATTTTAGACGACTCTATCAAATTATGCAAAAATAGTTGCATCAAACAAATTTGAGGAAATGTAAGAAAGAAGCCATAACCTAATGGCCTTTTTTTTCTAACTTCTTAAGATTATTTTATTGAAAGAAATACTGCCTTGTTATGGTGTCACTGAGAGGAAATGTCAATAAACTTCATAGGAACTTTTATTTTGCCTATACCTGAAGAAATTTGCCAAACATTAGAAATTACTCTTGATTTATAATTTATTTCCTCTTATATTTACCAGCCAGTTTCTTTTTTTAAAAAAAAAAAAACGAAGTCAGAGCCTCACTCCATCATCCAGACTGGAGTGCAGTGGCACCATCTCGGCTCACTGCAACCTCTGCCTCCTGGGTTCAAGCAATTCTCCTGCCTCAGCCTCCTGAGGAGTTGGGATTATAGGTACATACCACCACACCTGGCTAATTTTGGTATTTTTAGTAGAGACAGGGTTTCACCATGTTTGTCAGGCTGGTCTTGAACTCCTGACCTCAAATGATCTGATCTCAGCCTCCCAAAGTGATCATGAATGCCATTAGCATTTCTTAAACATTATAATTTATTATTTTCGCTTCACTTAAACATCACCTATCTTGCTTTTCTAAAATAAAAATATAAATAACATTACCCTAATACCATAATTTTCCTCTGCCTTCTCTGTTTTAAAAAATTCATACTAAATAGAACCAAAGTAATAACATGTTTTCTATATTGTGAACATTTAACAGGAATTTTACATCTTTCTGACAAATATATTGCCTCTAAATATAAACTTTAAATCTTTTACTTTTATGCTGCATGGTACAGAGAACTTAAAATGCTATACCCCATTGCTGCCAGACTGATTTGTTTTGAACATTTTACTATTAGAGCTGTATTTGCAAATTTGGACTCTTACGTTCTACTTCTTGTTTGTTTTCAGATGTTGAGGGCTTTTTCTTTAATATTAACCATCATTAAGAGCTAAAAATAAAAAAACCCTACTCTGTGTTTTGCCCAATTATAGAAACTACTTTTCTTAATAATATTGTAGTCTAATAGGAGAACTATTATGTATATGTGTGTGTGTGTGTGTGTGTGTGTATATATATATATATATATATATGAAAGACAATTTAATAGAATTAAATGATATAAGCTTGTATTTCAAAACAAGAATGGGTCAATTGATCTAATTAAAAGCTTCAGCCTGAACCCTTCCTGTGCAAAGTGTTTTTATAAAATAACTGGGAAAGATTGTTACAATATAATTATAGAAACAGGATTAGGTCCAAGGTGGCAAAATAAGTTAAGCATCTTCCATTCCTGACATAAAATATTAAGAACCAAAGTGTATACACATGAAATTAACATTAATTTGACAGAAGGGAAAGTGAAGTTTTCAAGAAGAAAAAGCTTATGGATAGATCTTAAAAGATTAGTACTACAGATAAAAAGAAAGTAACCCAGGGGAAGGAATGGTAAAACTTCAGAGACTCAACTAAGCATAGTTGATTTAAAGAGGTGTGGGCTAGAGATCTGGTTAAAGCAGATTTACATTGGGTACCACTAGGAGATAAACCCTAGATAGGAATTTTAGAAAAAGATTAAAAGCCAGATGTGAACATTTGAGTTTATCTCATATAAAAGGTCAATATATGAATAAATGAAAAATAACTACAAAACATTTATAATGATCATTTGAAGGAGAATAAAATAGAAGAAAGGAGACCACTTGGAAACGATATGGCCATTAAAAGTGTTAGCTAACTAGGAATAGAATTAGGGTTATGGCCCTGAAAATGGAAAATAATTAGTACATTACTATTGTTTTCTGCCTTTTATCTGGGAAATTATGTTTAATGTCTGAAAAAAATTACTGATTTGACATGAGTGTAGAACATGGAATTTTGTATTTAAAATAAACATTTGTGATTATGACATTAAGGGCATTGTTAGCTGCTATAATAAACTCAACTGTTTTATGGACTATATACCACAGATTACTATTTTACACTCAGGTTAAATAACTGCTTAGATGTTGCTGGTGGGTGAATGGCTTTCTTCCACATGGTAATTCAGAGAAATGAGCTGTTTCATCTTTTAGCTGTATTCCCCACTACAGCCTTGAAGTTCTCTAAATTCATCCAGAAAATAAATAAAGGAAATGTGGAAGGGACACATTTTCTTCTTGAACTTCAGCTCAGAAGTGATATAAATGACTTTCAACTATATTGCAATGGAATGTGCCCTAGATGCAAGTATGGAAAATATAGTCTCTGATTGGGTAGCTACTTCTCTGCAACAACTCTCTCTATGTGAAAAAGGGTGTATGATTGTGGTGGCTACCATTTCATCACTACTAAGGAGACTATCTAGCCTGTTCAAAATTTGCCAATAATAATTTTGAGGCTTAAAGAAATTAGCCAAATATCCCAAATTACATAACTGTTGTCAAAAATCTAGACTGCTAACTCCAGTCATTGATTTATTCATTCATTCATTGACTATTTACATGGTTTTAATCATGGGCCAGGCACTGTGATGGGTGCTATGGACAATTTGTTGAAACAATGCGAAAATCACATTTGGACTGAATGGCCACTCTGCTTTTCCATATTAAGTTGCACATATTTAAATCATTTCCATGAATTTGTTCAAAAACTACAACTCCTAATCTGTCTTTTAATTACTAGCTGAATATTTAGATTTAAAGTCAGCAAAGTTGGTGTAGATTAATACATAACTCTGATACTGAATGACTCTACGGACCTAAGTACTTTAATATATTTATGCCTCACTTTCTTCATTTTGAAAACTGAAATGTTATTAGTAACTACTTCATTAATTCATGTATTTAACACAAATTTATTGAGCACTGTATTAGTCTGTTCTCATGCTGCTAATAAAGACATGCCCAAGACTGGGTAATTTATAAAGGAAAGAGGTTTAATGGACTCACAGTTCCACATGGCTGGAGAGGCCTCACAATCATGGTGGAAGGCAAAGGAGAAGCAAAGACATGTCTTACATGGCGGCAGGCAAGAGATAGCTTGTGAAATGGAACTCCCATTTATAAAACCATCAGATCTTGTGAGATTTATTCACTACCACAAGAACAGTATGGGGGAACTGCCCCCATCATTCAATTATCTCCACCTAGCTCCTCCCATGTCATGCAGAGATTATTGCAAATTAAGGTGAGATTTGGATGTGGATACAGCCAAACCATATCAAGCACCTACGATGAGCACTTATGATATGCTAGTTCTAAGACTATATGAGAAAATAATTCAGGCTATATCATTAGGTTCTTAGCACTTCAATTATATATACTATATCAGATGTTATTGAATAATAATATCAGATGTTATAGAAAAATAAAGCATAGTAATGGATATAGGGAGGATTGCTGTTTTAAATAGGGTGGTCATGAAATATCACTCTGGTGGTAAGTTGACATTTGAGTATACATCAGAAGAAAATAAGAGAACAAGCCATGTAGTAAGCTGGCAGAATATTGTTCCAGAGAGTCCAACAAATGCAAAGATTATAGAACAGAAATATACTTGGTGTCTTTGAGGAACAGGAAGGAAACTACTGTTTCTGAGTCTGAAGTTATAAAAAGAGTAAGAACTGATCAAGATACAGCCTTAATGTTCCCCTCAACTTGACTAAATTTTAGGCAGGCTTCTTCCTGACTTAAGGCCCCTGACTCTTCTTAGAGCATTTCTTTAAAAAAAAAAAAAAAAAAACTTCCAGTTGTATGTTCTTTCCCTGCCCCTTTGAAATGTATATAAACCTTTGCCCAGCATCTCGCCAGTTTTAAAACCCAAGAAATGTCTTTGTCAAGGACCTGGGAGGCATCTCATTGATGTGTAAACTTAGAAGGGTGCAACACTTCTACTTCTGAGTTTCTGTGGAAGAACGGGAGCTTAACTGCAGTGGGCAGGCACATTACTCCAAACTGTAAAACTACCTCCTGTCATGAAAATAGATGAAGGTTTACTTTTCCTTTGGGTAAGGCCAATCAGTAAGCACAGGTAGTCTATGATTCCACCTACCTCAGCTCTTAAAAATTCTATAGACCTTTGTTTCAGCAGAGCTCACCATCACCTATTGCAGGAGTGTTAAATAAAGTCTTCCGGGTGGGCACGGTGGCTCATGCCTGTAATCCCAGCACTTTGGGAGGCCACGGTGGGTGGATCACTTGAGCTCAGTTTGATACCAGCCTGAGCAATATGGCAAAACTCCATCTCTGCCCAAAATACAAAAATTAGCCAGGCGTGGCAACGTGAGCCTGTAGTACCAGCTACTTGGGAGGGTGAGGTTGGGGATCACTTGAGTCAGGGAGTCAGAGGTTGCAGTGAGCAGAGATCACACCACTGCACTCCAGCCTGGGTGACAGAGCAAGACTCTGTCTCAAAAAAAAATAAAATAAAATAAAATAAAATAAAATAAAATAAAATAAAATAAAATAAAATAAAATAAATCATCCTTGTCTATTTAACTTTGTCCAGTTCAAGTTTTACTTTGACAATACAGGCATACTTTGTTTTCTTGTGTTTCACAAATGTTGTATTTTTTACAAATTGAGGTTTGTAGCAACCCTGCATTCGGCAAATTTATTGGTGCCATTTTTCTGACAGCACGTGATTGCCATGTCTCTGTGTAACATTTTGATAATTCTCGCAATATTTCAAACTTTTTATTATTATTATATCTGTTATGGTAATCTATGATCAGTGATTAATGATGCTATTTTAATTGTTTGGTGGCACCACAAACCACACCCATGTAAGACGCAAACATAATCAATAAGTGCTGTGTGCTTTGACTGCTCCACTCACCAGCCTTTCTATCATTTTGCTTTCTCTTTTTGGGCCCCCTATTCTCCATAAAACAAAAATATTGAGATTAAGCCAATTAATAACCCCAAAATGACCTCTAGCTGTTTGAGTAATAGGAAGAGTTGCAGGTCTCTCACTTTTAAAACAAAAGCTAGAAATGATTAAGCTTAGTAAAGAAAGCCATGTCAACAGCCAAGATGGGCTGAAAGCTACATCTCTTGAGCCAAACAGTTAGCTAAGTTGTGAATGC
The DNA here is from genome assembly GCF_000001405.40 of Homo sapiens. Lineage (NCBI taxonomy): Eukaryota > Metazoa > Chordata > Mammalia > Primates > Hominidae > Homo > Homo sapiens. Next base: position 43,130 of record NW_018654711.1, read on the forward strand.
AAAGGCAGAAACTTCAGGGAAATTGCAAATGCTACTCTGGTGAACACACAAATGATAAGAAACCGAAAGAGGCTTATTGCTGATATGGGAAAAGCTTTCATGGTTTGGATAGAAAATCAAACCAGCTACATTCACTTGAGCCAAAGACTTATCCAAGGAGGGCCTTAACTCTCTTTAATTCTACGCAGGCTGAGAGAGGTGAAGAAGCTGCAGAAGGAAAATTTGAAGCTAGCAGAGGATCCTTCATGAGTTTTAAGGAAAAAAAAAAAGTTGTTTCTGTAACACAAAAGTGCAAGATGAGGCAGCAATTGCTGATGTTGAAGCCGTCACAAGTTATCTACCAGATGTAGCTAAGATTATTAATGAAGGTTGCTACACTAAACAACAAATTTTCAATGTAAATGAAACAGCCTTCTATTTGAAGAAGATGCCATCTACAACTTTCATAGCTAGAGAGGAGAAATCAACATCTGGCTTCAAAGCTTCAAAGGAAAAGGTGTCTCTCTTATTAGCAGCTAATGAAGCTGTTGACTTTAAGTTAAAGCAAATGGTCATTTGGCATTTCAAAAATACTAATGTCCTTAAAAGTTATGCCAAATGTACTCTGCCTGTGCTCTATAAATACAACAACAAAGCCTGGAAGATAGCACATCTGCTTACTGCATGGCTTACTAAATATTTTAAGCCCGCCCTTGAGAATTATTGCTCAGAAAGAAATATTTCTTTTGAAATATTACTGCTCATTGACAATGACCTAGTCACTTAAGAACTCTGAGGGAGACGCAGAAGGAGATTAATGTCCTTTTTATGCCTGCTAACACAACGTCCATTCTGCAGCCCATGGATCTGGGAGAAATCTCTACTTTTAAGTCTATTATTTAAGAAATATATGTTGTAAGGCTATGTCTGCCATAGATAGTGATTCTCTTGATAGATATGGGCAAAGTAAATTGAAAACCTTCTGGAAAGGATTCATCATTCTAGATGCCATTAAGAACTTTTGTGTTTCATGGGGGAGGAGATCCAAATGTCAACATCAATAGGAGTTAGTGGGAAGCTCATTTCAACCCTCATGGGTGACTTTGAAGGGTTCAAGACTTAAATGGGGGAGGTCACTACAGATGTGGTAGAAATAGCATAAGGACTAGATTTAGAAGTGGAATCTGAAGATACGACTGCTATAATCTCATGATAAAATTTGAATGGATAAGGAGTTGTTTCTTACGAGGGACCAAAAAAGTGGTTTCTTGAGATAGAATCTACTCCTGGTACAGATACTGTGAACGTTGTTGAAAGGACAACAAGGGATTTAGAATATTACATAAACTTAGTGTATCAAGCAGCAGCAAGGCTTTAAAGGATTGACTTCAATTTTGAAAGTAGTTTTATAGTGGGTAAAATGCTGCCAAACAGCATCAAGTTTTAAAGAGAAGTCTTTTGTGAAAGGAAGAGTCAATTGGTGTGGCAAACTTCATCATCGTTCTTATTTTCAGAAATTGCCATATCCACCCAAATCTTCAGCAACCAGTCAGCAGCCATCCACTTGGAGGCAAGACACTTTACTAGCAACAAGATGATAACATACTGAAGGTATAGAAGATTGTTAGCATTTTTAGCAACAAAGTATTTTTAATTAAGGTACGTACATTCTTTTTTAGACATAATGTTATTACACACTTAACAGAGCAGGGGTCCCCAACCCTTGGGCAGCAGATGGATACTGGTCTGTGGCCTATTAGGAGCTGGGCCTCAACAGCAGGAGGTGAGCCACAGGCCAGCAAGCATTATCACCTGAGCTCTGCCTCCTGTCAGATCAGCCACGACATTAGACTGTCAAAAGAGAGCAAACCCTACTATGAACTATGCGTACGAGGAATCTAGGTTGTGTGCTCCTTATGAGAATCTAGTGCCTGATGATCTGATGTGGAACAGTTTCATTCCAAAACCATCCTCCTTGCACCATCCATGGAAAAATTGTTTTCCACAAAACTAGTTTCTGGTAACAAAATGTTGGGGACTGCTATAATAGAGAATAGTATAGTATAAACATAACTTTTATATGTACAAGCAAACAAAAAAAATTGTGTGACTCACTTTATTATGATACTTACTTTGTTGTGGTGGTCTAGGACCAAACCTGCAATATCTCCAAGGTATGCCTGTGCTACGAGACTGTTCAGTGATAGTGAAAGGTTAGATTACAAGTGATCTTTTGACCATGTCAGGATTCGGGCTTTGTTTCTGTTTTTGTTTTTTTGAGCGAGTGAGTGAGTGGGAACTTCTCTGGAGTTGTGAGCACAGGACTGTCATGATATACTTTATGTTCTAAAGTGATGACGCTGGCTGTCATGTGGAAAATAAGAATAAGAGGTAGAGACAGGAAACACATATACAGTGAAAGGATACAAAGCAAACTCAAGGAGGAAAAATGACATATGAGGTGCAATCTGGAGAAAACCAGTTCATAGTTAAAAACCTATTTCAATAATCCAGTCAATGTGTCCCTAAAAGAAAACACTCCCAGTGAGGTGAAATTCGAACAACACATCTAGTTGTTCATTTGGCATGAAAGGAAAAATATTTCATAGTACTTATTCATGTGCATTGGCTAATCGTTTGGTTAATTTGTGAGGAACTTGGAGAAACCCAGTTATAAGATTTGTGTCAAGGAGATCTGGAGGAGAAGCGTTTGTTTTTGACCTCTCAGAAAGAGGACAGAGTATGAAGATATTTGTGTCCTATTTGAATTGTTATCAAAGAGCACTGGCTGTGTCTTTTCCATGGCTTCAACCTGACAGCTCAGGCTTTTATACAGCCTCCTCCCAACACCCCCTCCAGAGCTTGGTTTAGAGGCTTCTTTCAGTGACTTCTGCTTGCTTCTCCTTCCTACATGGTTGGTTTCAGCTATTCTAACATTATAATGATAGTTGTTACAATAGTCTGTTTATTGAATCACCTGGCATGTTTGTTTGTTGCTTGTTTGTTTTTAAATCTCTGTCTGCTCACTAATGTAATTGGCTACCTTTTTATACTATGAGTTAATTGAGCATTAATGTATTCTTTAGGATAGAGCAAGTATTTGTTTATTGTAAAAAATGTTTAGTTGTTTTTGCTTGCTTGTTCTTTTGTTGGTTGTTGTTTATCATTTTTTGTTGTGTTGAGGAAATTGTATTTAAAATTTTATTTGGGTTTTCCAAGTTATGAAATAAGAAGGTCTTGGGCAAAATGATCTGTTTTCTCTGAACCAAATGTATATGTGGCTTTACGTTTCTATGTGGAAATGACATAAGAAATGAGCATGGGTCAGTCTGCCTTTACTATACAATTTGCTGGGAAGGTTCCATCAACTGTATAACACTGTTCGAAAACTCAGTCCCCATAAAGATTTGCTCTATTTCATTTACCAAAGAATGTCTACCTTGAGTAATGAAAACAGTGCCATAGCCACAGAGGTACACAACAATACGTAAACTGAAACCTTGCCATAGCTATGGGGTTTCTTAAGAGCTCTATTGAGATATGGAGGAAACTCTGAATTCAGCTTTCATGACACATTTTTATCATTTGTAAAATTGAAATAATAATACCTCCCTGTCTCTCTTGGGTGCTATAAAATGTTATTCTTTGAGAATCATGAATGAAAGTGACTATGCAAGAGCAAATTGTGATTGCTATTCTTTACGTTAATGCTAACAATGAAAAATAACATTTCTGTACTTTTCTTTATTATAGATGGTGATAGGTAACTTGTAATTTTTAAACACCATAGAAGACTACAAATTTAAGAAAATACAAGTTAAAAAAACTTTATAAAGTAGAGTATAAAATATACAAGGGAGGGAATTTATTTCATTCACTACTGTATCATGAACATACAAAATCATGTCTGATTTTAAGTATACACTTGTGGAATAAACATGTGTAGAAAGAATTTTGTTAACACATGTACGTTCACAGTTATATTAAAAAACTAACCACAAATAATATGAATCTGAATTCTGATCTACATTAAAATCTATATGATACAGACATACTTGTTTTACAAAGTAAATAATTAATTATGAGATAAAATTGCTTCATAATCAATATCATTTATATGAAAGAAGTCTAAAAGAAGTAGCTTCTTTTGTTGTTGTTTAGGAAACTAAAAATATTTGGATAACATAACCATATTAACTTTTAAATATGAATGTTTTAAAATTGTAATATTATGAATAAGAGCCACAGTAAATACTATTTTAATTTCACTTCTATTTCTCTATATTTGTGTGATGCTTATTAATCAGTCCTATGTAATTGTGCTAATATGTTTCTTGAATTTTAATGTGTCTACATAGATCATTCCTGTGTTAGTATATTATTTTCCTGCATTTACACAGGCATTTAGTTTCATGAAACATTGCCAAATTGGCATATCTTTTTACTTTCTCCTTCAAAAACCTTCTATCTCTCGGGTAGTGATAGAAATCTGAAATTCAGAACAGGTATTCTTACCATGAAATTGTATTAATAAACTTAATTAACAGAAGCAACATTATTTCAGTGACTTGCATTTATGAAACTGGCAAAGCTAAATGCTGTCATTTTGTCAAGTACCTAATCTTATGAGAGTCTATAAAATGTGAAGTTAACTGTAGTGGGTTATATGAGAAATTTTTTTAGACTTCTTTAAAACAAAAACAAATAAACAAGAACAAAAGAAAAATAAACAACAAAAGCTTTCGTCACAATTAATATCTCTCAGAATCACTACTGATTTTTTTATTGTTGTTGTTTTGACATTCGTGGGTTCTATACTGCCTTAGTTTCTTGGTTTTGATTCTCTCTCTCTGAATCCAGGACTTTGGTCAGTGAACACTTCCTCATCTCATCTGGGGATGGAGAGTTTACATCATTCAGCATATCTTCTTCTCGCTTTTTAGGTAAATATCTCATTTTTCCCCTTTTTAGTGGGAGGCAATCACTTCCATTCCTCAGAAGGTGTGCTGTTGAGGACTGAATATTGGTCTGTCTATCCTCCCCCTCCAAATTTATATGTTGATATCCTGATCCCCAACCATTGGGAGGAAATTAGGTCATGAGGTTGGAGCCTGTGTTAGTTCATTTGAATACTGTTATAAAGAATGACCTAAGACTTGGTAATATATGAAGAAAGGAGGTTTAAATAACTCACAGTTCTACAGGCTTAACAGGAAGCATGGCTTGGAGGTTTCAGGAAACTTACAATCATGGCTGAAGGCAAAGGGGAAGCAAGGTACATCTTACATTGCAGCAAAAGAGAGAGAGAGCAAGGGGCCAAGTGCCACATTTTTAAACCATCAGATCTTGTGAGAACTCTATCTTGAGACAGCACTAGGGAGATGGTACTAAACCATGAGAAACCACCACCATGATCCAATCACCTCCCCCCAGGCCCCACCTTTAACACATGGGGATTACAACTTGGCATAAGATTTGGATGGGAACAGAAAGCCAAACCATATTATTCTGCCCCTGGCCCCTCCAAAATCTCATGTCCTTCTCACATTTCAAAACAGAATCATGCCTTCCCAACAGTTCCCTAAAGCCTTAACTTATTCCAGCATTAACCCAAAAATCCAAGTCCAAAGTCCCATCTGAGACAAGGCAAGTCCTTTCTGCCTATGAGATTGTAAAATCAAAAACAAGTTAGTTACTTCCAAGATACAATGGGGGGATAAACACCGGGTAAATGCTCCCATTTAATATGGGAGGGATTGGCCAAAACACAGGGGCTGCAGGTTCCTGGGCTACAATTCCAAAACCCAGCAAGGCAGTCATTAAATTTTAGGGCTCCAAAATAATTTCCTTTGACTCCATGCCTCACATCCAGTCCACACTGATCCAAGGAGTGGGCTTCCAAGGATTTGGACAGCCCCGCGTCTGTGACTCTGCAGGGTACAGCCCCCACAGCTGTTTTCATGGGCTGGCATTGAGTGCCTATGGCTTTTCCAGTAAGATGGTGCAAGCTGTCACTGGAGCTACCATTCTGGTGTCTGAAGGATTGTGGCCCTCTTCTCACAGCTCCACTAGGCTGTGCCCTAGTGGGGACTCTGTGGGGACTCCAACCCCACATTTTCCCTCAGCATTGTCCTAGTAGAGGTACTCCATGAGGGCTCCGCCCCTATGGCAGACTTCTGCCTGGACATTCATCCATTTCCATAGATCTTCTGAAATCTTGAAAGAGGTTCCCAAACTCTTGCCTTCCGCGCACCCACAGGCCCAACACTACATGAAAGCTGGCAAGGATTGAGGCTTGCATCCTCTGAGGCAATGTCCTATGTTATACTTTGGTGCCTTTTAGCCACAGCTGGAGCTGGAGGGGCTGGGACACAAGGTGTCATGTTCTGGGGCTGCACAGAGAAGCAGGGCCCTGGGCCTGGCCCACAAAACCATTATTTCCTCCTAGGACTCTGGGCCTGTGATAGGAGGGGCTGCTTCAAAGATCTCTGAAGTGCCCTGGAGACATTTTCTCCATTTTCTTGGCTATTAACATTTGGCTTCACATTACTTATGCAAATTTCTCCAGCTGGCTTGAATTTCTTCCCACAAAATAGGTTTTTCTTTTCTACCACATGGTCAGAGTGCAAATTTTCCAAATGTTTAGGCTCTGCTTGCCTTTTAAACGTATGTTTCAATTTCAGATCATTTCTTTTTGAATGCATGTGACTGTATGCTGTTAGAAGCAGCCAGACTCCATCTTGAACACTTTGCTGCTTAGAAATTTCTCCCACCAGATACCCTAAGTCATGTCTCTCAAGTTCAAAATTCCACAGATCTCTAGAGCAGAGGCACAATGCTGCCAGTCTTTTTGCTAAAGAATAGCAAGATTTGCCCCTGGCCACAATAAGTTCCTCTTCTCCATCTGAGACCATCTCAGCTTGAACTTCATTGTTCATATCACTATTAGCATTTTGGTCAAAACTACTCAACAAGTCCTTAGGAAGTTCCAAACTTTCCCTCATCCTCCTGTCTTCTTCTGAGCCCTCCAAACTGTCCCAGCCACTGCCCTGTTACCCAGTTCCAAAATTGCTTCCACATTTTCAGGTATCTGTATAACAGTGCCCCACTCTTCTAGTACCAATTTTCTGTAGTAGTCCATTCTCACACTGCTATAAAGAACTACCTGAGACTGGGTAATTTATGAAGAAAAGACGTTTAATTGACCACAGTTCTGCAGGCTTGACAGGAATCATGACTGAGAGGCCTCAGGAAATTTACAATCATGGTGGAAAGCAAAGGGGAAGTAAGGCATATCTTAAAAGATATCAGGAGAGAGAAAGAGCAAGGGGGGAGGTGCCACACTTTTTAACCATCAGATCTCGCGAGAACTCTATCACAAGACAGCAGTAGGGGGGTGGCACTAAATCATTAGAGACCACCCCTGTGATCCAATCACCTCCCACCAGACCCCACCTTCAGCATGTGGGGATTATAATTTGACATGAGAGTTGCTTGGGCACACAGAGCCAAACCCTATCAGAGCCCTTATGAATGGGATTAGTGAACTTATAAAAGAACCAGAGAGTTGCCTCACTTTCTTTCTCCCATACGAGGATATAACAAGAAGTTAGCAGTTGCAGCCTAGAGAAGGACCCTCACCGGAGTCTTGACCATGCTGAAACCATAATCTCGGACTTCCAGTCTCCAGAAATGTAAGGAATAAATCTGTTGTTTATAAGTTACCAAGTCTATGATACTTTATTGTAGCAGCCCAAACTGACTATAAAAGTTCCATTCAACCAGCACGTTGCTTTTTCCTTATGGCCTGCTACAATGCATGACTGCTTCACCAGTTTTCTATTTAATGTTTATCAACAAATTATACCCTCTGTAAATTTCCATGTTCATGTTTGGTCATCTCCCAATTTGTAAATATGGTATATTTCAAATATTCATTCATAAATTCAGTTAATACCCAAAATGCATTATTTCTGGTAACAATATTATAATTATGTATATAGAATCAAGCCAATGCCAAAACTTTTGAACAATATTATTTGGCTATATGGAGCCAAACCATTATAACATGTTTACTCTGGGAAATACATTTATCTTTCTTTTTTCTTTATTAATATACTTTAAGTTCTAGGGTACATGTGCACAACGTGCAGGTTTGTTACATATGTATACATTAGGAGATTTATCTTTCTAAAATGTTAACATATTTCTAAAACTATAGTGACTTGGATGTAAGCAATGTATAAGTAGTAAGAAAATACATACATTTAAAATATATATATATTATCATTAGCAGCAGCTCCTCCCAAACCTGATGCTACTCCATCCAGTTTGTTTTTAACAAAACAATTTCAAATTTCTTATCATACTGGGAGTCCCCAAGAACTGTTTCACTTGGGCCTTAAGAAATAATCCTAAAAAGTTTTATGTAGTATCTACTCTAGACTATCTGCTATTTTTCTCCTTTTCTCACTATACATCTAATTTTTGTTGTCAGCCTTACCAACAGTCACCATCAACAGCATTGCTTCTTCAGTTAGAGTTACTTATTTTCAAGGTTTAGCTTATTTCTGTCATCACTGGGTCCTCCACCAATGTCAGTGTGGTCAACCTTGCTGGCAATGCTTTCCTATCAATTGTTCACACACTATTACTAAATATTAATAACACTGATACCTTATAAGCTCAAGTTTCCAAGGAGAAGATAAAGTACTAGCATTTTTGCTTTTTTTAACTAATTTAGTAAAACCTTCACAGCTATATGAAAGAGAGCTAAGGTAATAGAGGGCTTTGCAAGTTAGACATGAAAAGAAAGCAAAATTCTAGGGTGCTGAAGGGAAGTTAAAAATAAACTCCATGAGAAAATCTCCCAAATGTTTTCCCTTCTTATGCTTTCTTCTCCTTCATAAACAGTATTACCTTTCTAGACGTTGGATTTCTTAAAATCTAAAATATAACATACATAATAAGTGGGCATAGGAACATAAGCAAAAATTTCTTTAAAAATACCTGAGTAGCCATTATTTAGGCCAAGACATACAATATTTTTTGAATTTTTTTGTGAGGGGCTTCTTTTAGCTCAAAATTTAGATTTTAAATTTATCTATTTTGATGTGTATGGCTCCAGGTCTTTGTTTTCACTGCTATGCTAAGTGATTGTACAAATATCCTATAAATTATCATACCATTTGTAGGTCCTAAGGATAGTTTTGTACAAAACAGTTTTTTACAAAACTGATACAGTTTTGTAAATATATCTTAATATACATGTGCAAGAGTTTTTCTGGGGGATTAACTAGGAGTAGGATTGCTAATTATAGAATATATGCATACATGTTCATCTCTACTAGGTCACACTAAACTGATTTACAAGGTAGCTATAATAGTTACCATTCCCACCAGCCAATAGCCATGTCAAAGATGATATTAGTTGACCTTGCCCATCTGCTGAGTACAAAATTGCATATCATTGTGGTTTCAATTTTCATTTCCTTGACTATTCATTAATTTAACATCTTTTTATGAATTTTGTGGGCTAGTTGTGTTGCTTTTTCAGTGAAATTTATGAAATTGTTTTGTCATTTCATTTATTATGATAATGTGAAGCATTTATTTTAGATTGTATTTTAGTCATTATAGTTAGAAGATCTGTATACTTTGGCTGTCAGCTTCCAAGCCAAAAAATTATCAAATAATATCCTTCTGTTCCAGTTTCTGTCACTCTGAGAGCCAACTGATACTCATAAGACTGTTGCAATGTGATGTGTGGAATACTACAAAAGTATTCTTTAAAACTTCAAAAGAGTCTTCCTTTTATTGATAGAGTCAAAGAATTGATCAATAATGAACTACTGATCATAAGAATTATTCTTTAGCTATTTTGGATACATGCTCTGTTAATTTTATGCATTGTAAGCTCTTCTTTTGGATTGTTGACAAGTGTTCACATTTTGTAAGTGTCTTTTGGTGAACATAAATTCCACCTGAAATTGTTTTTTGTGTATTATGTGAGATTGGAATCCCATTATTGCAGGACCATTTATTATCCATGAATCTATAATACTCCTTGATTTTGGAATGTTAAGCAAACATTCTGGTTATCTTAGACTTTCAATTAAGCTCAGTCATAGATAATAATTAAGTATTGGGGCTATAAACTATGCCAACTGGAGCAGTGTATTTCCCTTTGGCTGCAAGTAAAAACATGTTCTAAGATTTATTCTTCAATGTAATGTTATGAAGAATTTTTTGTCTCCTCCATCACTGAAGCTCTTAAGTTGATAAACATCACTAGATTTGGCCAGATTCAGGCTCTGATAGAACAAATGCAGAAATGAGACACTGGTTACCTGAATTGTGATTTTGGCTGTATGTTATTTCATTTTGCATTTTTGAAAAAGTCAGAAAAACTCTTTTAGGTATCTAAGCATTATCTATAACTATGTCAAAATAAAAGTATCTACCCATTTCCATTCATTAGTTTAAACGCATATCTAAGTAATGTTGTTCATTGATTATGATAATTTAAAGCATTGATTTTAGATTGTATTTTAGTCATTGTAGTGACATCTTTATACTTTGAATGTCAGTTTCAAAGCCAAAAATGTATCAAATAATATTTTAATGTTCTAGTTACTGTCACTCTGAGAGCCAACTGATACTCCTAAGAATGTTGCATTGTTATGTATGAAATACTACAAAACTATTCTTTAGAACTTCGAAATAGTCTTCTTTTTATTGATAGAATCAAAGAATAAGAGGACACCAAAAAAACTATTCGTTATTTTATTTCATAACTATCAATCATGCCATTTTCAATTTGCCACACATTCACTGCCTAATAGAAGAGAATCATGGTAAACAAACCTGTTCATAGTTTTAGTCAGCAGTGACACACTTGCCCACACACTTAGTCCACATTTCTTGAGTTTTCAGCCTCTCTAGAAGCATAATTCAGAAACCTAAAATTACTAAAACATTTTACAAAGAAAAAGAGGAGCAAAGGCAACTTTTCTAGCAATAACAGGTTCTTTAAATCAAAGCATTTTCTAGACATATAGTGGAATAATAATTCATAAGGTTGCCAGTTACCATGTTCATTTTATTTGATATAATTTATTAATACCCAAAGCTAGCCAGCACACTGCTATTAAGCAGAGCACAGGGAATGTTAAATAACAGAAAGTAATAGAAATTTTATCACGTAGAAAAATAATCTGATAAATTACTATAAATAAATACAAAATAGAAAAAGATAAGAAAAAACTGCATTTGCAATTTAAAGCTGTCGGGCAGGTGTGTAATGTCACATGCTTGCAGAATCCTATTTATAAATGCACATTTTAATACCAACTCATTGGCCCTATTCATTAAGAGGAAAAGTGCTGATTAGAAACAATTTTCATTTTTTCCATGCACCCCAAGAGTTCTTTCTAAAAAAAGTCTTTCTAATTAGTTTAGACTCATTTTTAATGAATTCATAAATTTTTATGAATTCATAAATATTGTTTCTGAGATTGTTGCTTAAGCAGTATATACACATGTGTATACATTTACATAATGTATAAATTATAAAGGTGTGTGTGCATGTGTGTGTGTGAGAGGGAGAGAGAGAGAGGAAGAGAGAGAGACCATCGAATAATTTTATTTAAAGAGAAAATCATTAGTGAACAATAGCTATAATTAATTTGTATTGTATCCTTGAGGGTTAAATATAACCAGTGTATGATTCTAAAAGCCATAAAATTCAACACTGCACTAAAAATTAATAAGGATGCTTCTCTTTATGCATTTTCTATGCTTTTCTGTGAAAGGAAACTTTCTCTTATATTTTCTTTTCAAAGAGCATATTACCATTTGGAATTCTGGCTTATCCTAAGGCAGATCCCATATAAGTAGGTATTTAATTCTGTAATTGAAGCTTTTAAAGTAAGAGTTGGATATGATTTATTTATGTTTCAGAATTATACATTTGTAGTAATGCCAACAATCAGTGGAAGTTCAGGACATCATGAGCCAACCATAGGAGTTGGGGAAGTTAGTTAGGATGCCATGGTTAGAAGCTGAAAAAGGGATGATGAGCCTATAAACAAGAAAGGTAGCTGTGGGAATGAGAGGTAGAAGACAGATTCCAGAGCTATTCAGGAGACGGAATTAACACGATGTGCTGACTGATTGAATGTGAGAGAGGAGATAAATGAATAAGTTGAGGATCATAATGAGGTTTCCTAGCTTGGGTGACTCACTGAATGGTGATTTCATTAACTGAAAGGAAAGCTGAAGAGGAAAGAGCAATTTTGGAGAGGAAAATAAGGACTTTGGCCTGGATGTATTGAAACTAAAGTCTATGTAAAATATACCTTGTAACCATTTTACAATACATGTTATATTACAACACAGGTTATATGATTGGGGGTTATTATAAATACAGATTTTTTAAATTCACTGGAATAAAAGATCACTCTTATGAAGGGATTAACTTAGCCCTCTAAAATCATATAGAATGAGCAGAGAAAAGTTCCAAAAACTGAACCCTGCATTACACAAATATTTAAGAGGTAGTTAGTGAAAGGTATACCAGGAAAGAAGGAAAAAAGAGTGGCCAGATAGGAGAAAGCAGAATTAAGGGACTAGATAATTGTACTATTGAGTTTCATGAGTGAAATGATTTCCCCAAAAATTGCTGCCAGAAATGTGGAGAAGATGTCACAGTTAAAAAAAACCACTGTGGACTTTTTGAGCATTTTTTGAAGGAATATTTAAGGTAGACACCAAATTGCAATGGGTAGGGGAATTAAACTGAATGGTGAAGAGCTCATGAGCTCATGGATTTGTCTCCAGTTGTTATCTTGTGTATTAGATCTGTTTAACTATATCATGGGAGTACTTTATTACAGTTCATCTTGAGTTGGCTCCAAGTTGGCACTGCTGTTAGGCAGTGCTTTTTTCATAACTATGGGCCCCATTTTAAACAAATGCTTAAAAGTGATTAATCTCCTGGCTTAAAGACATTTAAGACTGAAATTAAAACCATTTCTGTCACTGTTCCTGGAAATTTGTAAACTTTAATCTCTAAATCTTCTCCTCTATATGAATGGTTTGGTTTTTATATACCATTTTGATATTTATGGTGGAAGCTATTATTCACTGAAAAGGAAGAATTTTACTTCACTCAGATTTCAATGTATTTAATAGTATCTGATAGAAGCCTTAAAAGTACATAAAAAGACAGTGGTACACCTCTTTCAGAAGATAATATTTCAGAATGTCAGATTTCCTACTTTACTACAAATGAGTATATAATAAATAGAACTTTAAGGCACTCTGGTAAGATTATTAGGCAAATCTGGTGTGCACTCCTTTGAGATCATACAATATGTATGAATTACAATTTTGTTGTTGCTACAAAACAAAGATGAAATCTTAAAAGCAACCAGAATATCTTTAAAGATTTAACCTTAGATGTCAGTGTAATAGAATATCTTTCCATTTGCTAAAACATTGCAAGATACCTTGGCAAACTACATTCACCACTTAAAGTCCTGGTGAGGATTCTGCTTTAAAACACTGTATTTACTACTAGATACCCTTTGCTCAATTTTAAAATTTCCATCTCTTTCATATACCATTTTCCCACACATGTTCAGTACAATTCAGATATAACCATGCATATTATGTAGCTTTCCACCAGGAAAGAGATAGTACATTCAAATTTAAATACATTGAAAGAGCTTAGTAAAAGAACCACACACATAGTTGTAGTGAGGAATAGGAAACCCACAAAACACAGTGAAATCTCAGGGGCTAGAATGGCTCCCATAACAACTCTAGGTATTTGGAGGGAGAGAGATAACAGTGACCCGGAAACTAGAGACAGAGGGCCGTGAGGCAAATCTGCTTGCAGAAGATGAGGTAGGTCAGACTACTGCAGCAGAAGTAGTGGCATTTGTAGTAATGCCAAAGATCAGTGGAAGTTCAGGACATCATGAGCCAACCATAGGAGTAGAGAGAAGAAATGTTGATTTAACTATCTCCTTTCCTTCCTTTTATTCCCTGTCAATGGTCCTCAATGATGGAACCCAGAAGACAAGAGAGTCTGTTGGTATAGTCAGTACAACATAGAGCCCACCACTGCATAATCATCACTCAAAACACTGTTACATTACATAACTTAACACGTTATGTTATATAAATTCATGCTATATAGAGCATTCTGGAGGGACCTACATCTGGATAGACAGTAACATAGAATAGATCTCGATAGTGTTAAGTATATATATATATATACACACATATACATACATATATATATGCATATAAAATGAAAGGGCATTCAACATAGTCTTCAGGGAAATAAAAATTTTAAAGAATATAATATTTTAACATACACCATTAGAATGGCTTAAAAAAAAACCCAAAAACAGTGAAGGAAAAATAAAAAACTGATATGACCAGATACTGGTGAAGAAATCAAGCAGTCTAAACTGTCATATATTACTTTTCAGAGTGCCAATTGATATATGACTGTTATATTCTACCCAAACTGGTACAACCTAAGAACAAACAATATATAGAGAAATGTATTATTTTGTGTAGAAATGGTTTGTACAGGATACTGATAACAATACTATTTACGAAAGTCAAAAGCAGAAATAACCCAAATATCCACCAACAGTAGGATCAGTGAGTAAACTGTGGCATATATATATGATGAAATTAAAACAAACATCCAATAATATGGATAAAATCACAATGCTTAGTGAAAAAAGTCAAACATGAAAAAAAGTATTTTTTAATTTATATGACATTCATTTATATAACATAGCATATGTTAAGTTATATAAAATTAAAAGTGGTGATAATCTTCCATATCTTGATTTGAGTGGTGACTATGCAGGTATATTCACTTTGCAAATATTCACCAAGCTGAATGATTATAATGTGTTCACTTTTGTGTATGTATTTTATAATAAATGTTTAAAAGAGGATTTTCTTAAAAGAAAATGGTAAGGAAAGTATGGATGAAAGGTCTAATAAAGATACCTAGCACACTACAGCAGTGAGAGATCTTCTCTAACTTCTGGCTTTGCCTAGCGCTACGTGGAAATAATGCTCACCAGTATGGTAAGCAACTTCTGATTTGGACATCAGAGGTCATTATGCAGAAGATAAAAATGTAAGGATTTCATATCCTTAGAATTGGGAAACCTTCCATTTGGCTGTAATTACATCACAAACCATCTGTTTTATTAATATCTTTGTGCCTCATTTTCCTCATTTGTAAACTGATGAAATTGAGAGAAATAATTTCTAAGATTTTCTGCCAATTCAATGTCTTTCTTGCCAATTATAATTTAGAAAGATGATAGGTAGATAGATACAGACATAGACAGGTACATACATGCATGCACAGCTAGCAAGTCAGATAGTAGACAGAGACATAGATACACAGATGCATTTATACACACATACATAGATACCTATATACATATCTACATGTCTAGATACATAGATGACAGATACATAGACACTTATACACATGACAATATACATAGCTAGACGGATGGATAGATAGATAAATAGATAGAGAGACCGATCAAACAGTAATGTGAAACAAGGTATTTATGCTCTTTCATGTGTTTATGTATTTGTACATGTACTCAAGACACATCAATATGAAATTATAATCAGTAAAAATCCAGCAGCTTCAGTTCTAAAAAAGCAAGCTAACAAGATTAGGAATAAGTAAAAAACAAAAGCAAATAGAATAAAGACAAAAATAAGGTTCTAAATCAACCAATATTTTAAATTAAGTGTCAGAAGAAGCTGGACACATGAATGTGTATGACAAAGAGGAGTATATCTGAATGTTACATTTTTGTAGTTTGATGGTCTAATTTTATCCCATCTACAAGACGGATCTTATATCTAAAGGAAAGTAATCAATAATTAAACAGAGAAGTACCTGCTTGCCAGGCAGGTCTCATATTTTAAAATACAAATAAGATTTTCCTCCCAGAAGAAATATATTTTCATGACAGGTAGGTAAATAAATTCTGTTGTTTTGTTTTTTTTTAATACTGCATCTGACAATAATTAAGCCTCTGTTAAGCCTGTTGTTTATTTTTAAGTTCAAATTTACTTAACAGTCATTAAAATCTCAGCATTTGCATTTGCCTGTAGTGAGATTCTTCTGTGGGCTTCACAGTGGTTCACAGTAGGCAGTCAAGCCTAATAATAATGGCATGCTAATACTAGAAGAATCTCCAAGTAGTTGGAAAAATTGAGACATGAAATCATGTTTTAAAAGTAACCTTTATTTTAAATGTATTGCTTTTTATCATTTTAGATTCATAAACAAGTTGATTTTTATTAGTTTTATGTTCTTTTGGGATGCTCCATTTTTCTTTTGAACTAGTTGGAATCAAACTCATCCAGAGCTTAAAAGCAAGTGAAGAGAGTCAAATTTGAGGCAAAATAGAATGTACAGTGTAAGGATCTGGGCGGTGGAATCCAATAGACATGTTTTTGATCTTATGTAAATGATAAAATAACATTTTTATTTAAAAAAAATATGTTTACTAGGCCAGGCGCAATGGCTCACGCCTGTAATCCAGAACTTTGGGTGGCTGAGGCAAGTGGATCACTTGAGGCCAGGAGTTGGAGACCAGTCTGGCCAACATGGTGAAACCCCATCTCTACTAAAAATGCAGAAATTAGCAGAGTGTGGTGGCACGCACCTGTAATCTCAGCTACTTGGAGGCCGAATTGCTTGCATCCAAGAGGAGGAGGCAGAGACTGCAGTGAGCCAAGATCGTGCCACTCCAGCCTGAGCGACAGAGTGAGGCCCTGTCTCAAAATAAAAACAAAACCAAAGCTAAAAATTTGTTGACTTATTATCAAATTATTTACACAGTAATCTAAACAGAATGGGTCCCCCATAAATGAAATTAAGAGGAGTTAAACAATTTTTTTGGACTGTAAAATATTAGATTGTATATTACTTGTATTAAGTAACTGGCAGTAAGCACTTTTCGAGCATGTTGTATTAAATGGGAATGCAGCAAATGTATTGAGCCAGTACCTTTAGGGTGTACTCATGATATTGCCTCTGACAATAATTAAACCCAAACACTGAACTAGTTGAGATATAAAGCAAAGTCATTGTCATATGGAGACCAAATAGAATTGCTATTAAATAATATATATTGGGCTGAATCAAGTTCCTAATACCAAGGCACAGAATCAGAAAGCAGCATTAGATATAAAGAGGCTTCCTGAACTCCAGCTCTCCCCTCCTCAGGAGGAGCAACGTCAAACTCTGACTTCCTGCCTGCGGTTTGCTCACCATGACGAGAGAGGAAGCAGTATGTAGATATGTCTTTCTGGCAGTGCGCAGCGGCTGACGCCTATAATGTCAGCACTTTGGGATCCTGAGAGAGGCGGATCACAAGGTCAAAATATTGAGACCATCCTGGCCAACATGGTGAAACCCCGTCTCTACTAAAAATACAAAAATTAGCTCAGCCTGGTGGCGCATGCCTGTAGTCCCAGCTACTCGGGAGGCTGAGGCGGGAGAATCACTTGAGCCCAGGATGCGGAGGCTGCAGTGAGCTGAGATTGCACCACTTCATTCCAGCCTGGGTGACAGAGCGAGACTTCGTCTCAAAAAAAAAAAAAAAAAAAAAAAGGAAAGATTAAAATGTCTTTCCAACTGAAAAAAAAGTCAAGTAAGAAGTGCTCATAATATTTTTAAAAATATAAAGCTTGAGCATTATAAACTGTGAAAAAGATTTGACAAACAAGAAGTGTGAAATATGATCTGTGATACAAAAAAGCCTCATCACAAGAGATCCTGTTTCTCCAGATGAGGAATGCTTCAGCTCTTGTATGAAAAGCATAGAATCTAAACCAAGACAGAGAGGAGACCTGTCACTTACCAGTAAGTGTCATGTTTTCAACATTCTCTTAGGGAAGAAGGAATTGGAATACAATTGGAATTAAGTGGTTCATTTTATAAGATCCTCCTAAATCAACAGATACATATATAGCTTTTTTTTTCTGATGTGCAGATTTCTATATTAGACAGATATTCATCATTATTGTGTTGTTGTTTTCAAATTAAGGCTTTCCTTTACAAAGTGTCTTTACAGACAGATACTTACGCTAATAGGAATCAAGTGACCACTTCAGTCGACATCAAGAGCCATAATTGGTCAAACTACGCATCCAGCATCCTTACAGCATAAGACTTTTAGAAATGCATTTCTTTAGAAATCAAAGAAACCTTTACACATATAATAGTTAAAATGTTTCAATAGTCTCGATTAATACAAATGATTAACACCACACCCCCATTTTTAACAGTAAATGAGATTTCAGTGTCTTAGAAGTTTGTATATACATGCTTATCATTTGAATTTTTCCTACTCAATGGAAAACAAAGTAGTTTTCCTTTGTGTAGAATGGGAAAAGATTAAAAATTTCAAAAGTATTGACTGCCATCTCCTAGAAAAGTAGAATATTGGTGTGTTGCTATAAATACTACCACAGTTTGCAGAAAGGGTGTATTTAAAATAAAGGGGTGAGAAGTTAAAATTGTGCTATTTATCCATTGCATTTACTATAGATTGAAAGGGATTTGTAAGTCAAAAGAAGCAAAATGAAAGCAAGAAAAGGTCAAAAAAAGTAACAAAGATAGAATGCAGAACAGGTAAATGTGCCCCTAGGGAAACACACAACAGGAAAGGCATAAAGATAATGGCACATATCTCAGTCTAGATATATAGAATGCAGTGCCAGGTTTGGTCTTTAAGGTGTGCGTTAATTCGAATGGAGAATTTTCCATTGTGAATATGCATTTTAGTGCCTCTACTCTAGGTAAATGTTTGTTTGATTGCTGAGCCTAATAGTGGTAGTATCTAAATGAGCCTTATAATAATGGTAGTATCTAAATGGTGTTTGCTCGGCGCAATGCTCATATTACATACAAGTGAACAAGCTTCTGCTAGAGCTCCTATGTCACATCATAGGAAATAGTTTTCATCAAAGCTGGTTTAAGCGTAACAAAGTGAAGAAAGTAAATTCAACAAGAAGAAAAATGTTTTATGTGAAAACTGGGACTTGGCAAATGGGCAAAGTAAAAGGTTTTAGAGTTATAAAATTCATAATTTTCTACTTGCCCTATTTAAAGTGAATGCAATGCTTCAACTAAGATCTGTTACATGATACTTTATATTAATAGTCTGTTTCCCCAACTCATGTCTATTTGCTCTTCCCAGATATATTTGTGTCATACAAAGGTAGAGAGCAATGCTATAATTACCATCACCAGATAGCTTATTTATTAATTCAGGCAAAGCCCTTTTGCTGCTCAAAATCACTAGTATTTTTCCTGGTATTTCTCTGCTACTAGGGACTCAATGCTTCCCCCGATCTATTCATGCAAATTCCATTCATGTTAAATTGAAGTGCTAACAAGTGTGCTTTTTTTGGGTATGTTGTAAACATAGTGTGCTAAACTTATCATATATAAATCTCTCCAGTATATTCATGCTATTCTAAGCATTGATAATAATAAATCTTATAATGTTTCTGAAGTGATACCCTCAATTGAATGTTGATGAAAACAAAATTTAATAAACTTACATCCACGCGGTGCTTTGTATTTTCAAAGTTGTTTGATTTTCAAAGCCTCTGCACAGCACAAAATGTTGTAGGTCAGCATTCAAGTATAATTATGTCCATCTAATGGAAGGAAAACTGAGCACTTAGAAAAGTTAAGTGAAAAGTTTGACAACGCGCTTTCATGATTCTGTAGGTAAATTGACACCAATACCTGCCTGTGTTATCTATTGAGGAAATATAATTGAAAGTCAAATCTCTCAACCCAGAAATCTACTCCACAAAGGTAGTAGACAAAGAAAACGCTTTTGCTATTGAGAATGCATTAAAACAGAATGTGATGTGCATCACAGGCAGTCCACTAAGTGATTGCAAAGACAGAAACAAATTTCACCCTCTTAAAGATCCAAGAAGATACAACCAATTACAGACATGTTTTCCAGATAAACAATAACTAGTCTTCAAGTAAGAGGACTTGACAACACCATTTGTCACACATTATTCATACTAACTTTACCTGGTAATTGGGGTGACCATCTCTGTTAGCTACTTGGCTTTATCGAGAAGACAAACTTCTCTTCATGACAGGATGTAGTTCTATAATTTGGAGCAAGATCACCACCAAAGTCAGCCTCCAACCCTCACACAGAAACTGGAAGAAAGGATTAGTATCTTCCTTGATGTTTGCATTTCTGAGATGTTTCATGCACTCGAGAAAGATATTACTAGGTCACAAAGCTGAAAAAAAAGTCAATATAGTCTTTGAAAATATTTGTATACATTTCAAATAAATTGGAAAATATTTATAATTAAAAGCAATCTAAGAAGATAATGTTGTAAAAGAAAAAGTAGAGGAGGGAAACCTCTTCTCCCATTTTCAACAGGAAGAATTAGGCCTTTGATTTTATATTTGCCTTTGTCTTACACACAGAGCAAACTTCCAACTAGGAAGAACCCAGCCGCATTATATTGCTGCTGCTCTTTGAGTTCCCCTGGCTGCTTCCTACCAATAAGACCAAGCAAGATAGTAAAGCAGATCCATTCTTTGGAGAAAGGTGGGATTTCCGTTGGCTGACTTTAGCTCAAGGTTTTGCCAAATCTTCCTTAGACAGCATGGCTGAGTAGGAGCTTCCACTTAAACTTTTCCTCTCTCTCTTTAAGTGTGGTAAAATTTATATCACTGAAGACTTTTTCAGCCTTAGCTGGCACCCTCTTTATTTACTTTCAGGCATGTAAACAATTAAAATCATTTCATGTTTAATACCATCTTGGCATTTGTTTCTTGGAAGACCTGGATTAATAGCACACTGTGGAAACACAAAATAGTAAAATTGCTGTGGAGTGGTATCATTCAAATTACTAATGCATATACCCTTTGGCTCAGCAATTCCACCTCTGGGAGCTTATCATCTAGACATGCCTGCACACGTCAAAAATGATGTGTGGACAAGGTTGCACATCACCAGAGCATTGTTTAGAGTATAACAATGGAAAAAACACAAGGGGATGAATTCAATTAGATACTGTAAATTCACACAATGGAATGATATGTATTTATAAAAATGATTAAGGTAGCTTTCACTGTGCCAATATGGAGCAATCTCCAGAGCATATTGTCCAGGTTGAGGTATAGTGACCATTCACAGGCACACTATAGCCTTGAACTCCTGGGCTCAAGCTATCCTCCTGCCCCAGTCCCCCAGCAATTGGGACTATAGGTGCACACCATGTCCAGGGTATATTTTTAAGAGATGAAAGCAAGGAGTGGAAGAGTATAAATAGAATATCTAATTTTATGTATCTAAAGGGAGGTAATAAGTATATTTTCATATTGGTTTCATGAAACACTGGAAGACTCTCTTATGCATTAGGAAAGAAATCATTTTAGGGAATAGAAGGGGAGAAATTTGGTAGAGAAGGAAATGGGCACAATCAAGTTTTCTAAATATATATTTTTTACTGAGATTTGACTCATGTAAATATACTATCAAATAAAAAATAAAATTCAATTTAATCAAAATATATGAGTCTTATTGAAAGCATGTGGGCACCTAAGCATTAAATAGTAGAAATAATTAGTGCTTTATTTGACTTTTGAAATGTTGTCCTTTATCTTTGCCTTTTTTCTGTACACTAACTTGTGATCAATGATCTATTTCTTCATTTAATAAACAGTTCTCAAATATCTACTACTTATCAGACACTGTGCTAGACCCTGGGTGAATAGAACAACAAAGAGCCTATCCTCATGGAGTTATAACCAGAGAGAAAGACAGAAATTTCAAACTGAGACTAATTCATTTGTAGAGAAATACTAGAGAAAATGAAGTCTACAAGTGGGATTTCACCCAGCTCTGGGGTTCAGTCAGAAAGCGAATCAGTTGCTATAGCAGTAGTAATTTAAATTATTGCTCTGGCCTTGGATATTTCAGAATTCTGAGAGTGGGCATTATATTAAATTGTATACAAATTATGAGAATTTCTGTATTAGAAATGTTGACATGGAATGAGGCAGAACGTCTTTGAAAACCATGTTAATCAGATTCAAGCTAGGCATTATCTAAAATGTTTATTTCTTAAGCTAAAATCTAAAGAGGGTAGCAGTTCCTTTTTGCACACAGATGTAATAAAAAATGCATTATCAGAACTTGCATAAATTAACTTTCAAATAAATATATACATTCTCATAGATATGTAGCATTTTGGCAATCAATGTAGTTGAACTGACAATCTGTATAAATTAAATATATAAATTTAATTATATTTTATAATGTTTTACATTAAAATATATTAAATCTTGAAATATAAAGATTTTCTTTTTCATTTAGGGCATTTTTTATATTCTTTTTTTAGTCACATGAAAACAGTCATTTTTAAAGTGAATTTGTATTATTTAAGCCATATTTATTAAAAAATGAGGTACAAAGTACAAAGAATACTAATAAACTTCTACATGTAAACTACTTGGTTTACGAGAAAGATCGGTCTCATGGCTTTTAACATCTTTCTTCTCATCCTCCTCCTCTTATGTCTTCATTTTCCCCTTCATGGGTAACATCTATTTTAAATTTTGGATGTATTTTTTATTTGCTTTAGAAAAATGTTATTATTCATTTTAAGTTTTTAAACAACTAATCATTTATTTCCCATGCTTTAATATTTATTAAAACAAAATAAATTGTATATATTTACCTGAAATTTGCTTTTTTAGCTCCACTTAAGGTTCTTAAACTTTAGGTTCTCTCCTCAATGTTATTACAAGTAGCTGAGGTCTTCATCTATATTGCTATAGAGTATTATATCGTATGGTTGTAACACAATTTATTTGTTTATTCTACTGCTGATGGACATTTAAGATTTTTCTTGGATTTTTTTGCTATTGCAAAAAGTACTCTGATATGGTTTGGATTTGTGCCTCTGCCCAAATCTTATGTCAAATTGGAATCCCCAGGGTTGGAGGTGGGACCTGGTGGGAGATGACTGGATAATGGGAGAGGATTTCCCCCTTTGTGCTGTTCTCATGATAGTGAATGAGCTCTCACGAGATCTGGTTGTTTAAAAATGTGTAGCACCTTCCCCCCTCCTTGTTCCTGCCCCAGCCATATAAAACGTGTTTGCCTCTCGTTTCTTCACCTTCCACCATGATTGTGTTTCCTGAGGCCCCCCAAAAAGCTGAGCAGATGCCAGCATCATGCTTTCTGTACAGCGTGTGGAACTGTGAGCCAATGAAACCTCTTTATAAATTACCCATACTGAGATATTTCTTTTTATAACAGTGTAAGAATGGGCTGATACATACTTCTATGAAAATACGTATGTCTTGGAATACATATACATGAGGTTCTTCCAGATAAAGATTGAAGATTAGAATTTCTAGTCCTTGTGCCTATATGTTATTAACTTTTAAAGGTAATATCAGTAATTTTCCAAAGTGTTTGTACTTATTTGGAGTCCCTCCTGTGAGCAATATATGAAAGATCTGTCATTTCACATCACCACTATTTGATATTTGAAGGCTATGAATTTTTATAACAATGTGGTTACATGTAAAATGGTGCCACATTATGATTTTAATTTGTATTTTCATATTGCTATTACATTTGAGTGTAATTTTTAGTTTTTTGATAAAAATTCAAATTTCCCCTTCTGTTAACTGCAGTTTGAGTCTTTGTGTTTTATAATTTTTTCTTTCCTTTAGTAGTTGTGAAGCTTTTGTTATACATGCTGAATAATATTCACTTGTCATTTTTATGCACTGAAAATAATTTCTCACAATTTGAGATTCTTGTTTTTGTTTTTTATGGTCCTTGATAAACAATAACTTTTAATTTATATACTCATATAGTAGAGGTTTTCTTTTTTGTTTGTTTTGTGTCAATGTTTTTTTTTTTTTTTTTGCTGTCTTTAAATTATAAATATATCCCCATGAAATGACTTCTAAAAGTTGTATACTTTCATTTTTTAGATTTTTCTTTATCCCAAACTGGAATTGACTTAGTGTATAATGTTGGGTGTACAATTCCTTTTAGTTGTGTTTTCTTCCTCATCCTTTCAATTCCAAATTGATCAAATAATTTAGTAATAATTAGGTTGGTTTTGGTATAATCTCATCTGGGAGAGGCAGGCCAAAGTTTAAGGAGTCTGACTACTGGATTTAACAGATTTATTTCCTTTAGACCCAGACTTCTGATAGCTGAATGCTATTTTTTTCTCTTTTGTTTTTCATGCTCTCTAGCCTTTTATGAATTAATTAATTAATTTTTTTTTTTTTTGAGATAGAGTTTCACTCTTGTCTCCCAGGCTGGAGTGCAGAGGCGCCATCTTGGCTCACTGCAACCTCTGCCTCCTGGGTTCAAGTGATTCTCCTGCCTCAGTTGCCTGAGTAGATGGGATTACAGGCACCAACCACCACCCCTGGCTAATTTTTGTATTTTTAGTAGAGATGGTGTTTCACCATGTTGGCCAGGCTGGGTCCCAAACTCCTGACCTCAGGTGATCCACCCACCTCAGCCTCCCAAATTGTTGGGATTACAGGTGTAAGCCACCGTGCCCAGCCTTAATTTGGTAATTTTTCACTTGATTTGTTTGCTATTATTTGATAAATTATATCCACCATTTTGGTTTCAGTGATTACCCTACAGATTTTAATATACATATTTATCAAAATCTCTGCTAACATTATCTCTACCTTATTCCTGACATTAGCAGGATTAAGAACCTGTAAATCCCAATCACTCTCTCTTAATGTATATGCTATTGTTAACTATTTAGTTCAATATTTTAGACACCAGAATTCATTATCATTATTTTTACTAGTAATAGTGCTTTTTCTAGTCATAGTGTTTTTTTTTTTTTTTTTTTTTTTTTTTTTTTGCACAGATTTTAACTAATTCCTTAGGTTTTTATTTCTTCTGGCATGTCAGACCATATAATCTGGGATTATTTTTATTCCGCTTAATGTTTAATTTTAGGAGTGTATGTGTCTGTAATCTTCATGGGTCTTATGCTCATTTTTTTTTTTGATTCTTCAGTGTCATTCTTCTTTGCTTTGTTTCCCCTGTCAATTCCAAAGAAATACATTGTATCTGTAAAGATGAAATAAGAATTATAAGTGTCCCTCTCCCCCTATTTAAATGAATATGTCTGGATTCTTATCATTGACTGGAAGGCAGAAAACAATTTTAAAAAAGGTAGCATTCTTTACTATATGTATAACCAAATATTACAATTGTGTGTATGTACATACATGTACATATATATGTACATTTTTGTATACAGACATTAGTCATCTTCCAAAATTCCATAAAAGGGCCATACGCTATGGTTGCATATTTGTTTAAAAGGTTGTAAGCTTCCTGAAAGCAGTGATAGTAGCACTGAATTTCTCTTATTATCTTACCTGATGCTAAACCGAAAGCAGATGTTCCATAAATGACTTAGGCGAAGAACATGGTTCATTTGTGCCGGAGCCTAAAAGAGAAATAGTGTTTTGTGAAAAGATGATAGCTGAATGCTGTCAATAATTTTGCTTCTCCTGGGAAAAGAATACCAGAATGATTGTTCAAGGTGAAGAAATTGCTTACCACACTGAAAAATATGAGAGGTTTTGCACACACAGGAAGGTGTCCTCATGCCTGAATTATTACTGGGGGAAAAGAATTGAACATGGTTGAGGACAACCATTTCCAGAATTGTGTTCCTCACCTGAAAGTTTCTAGACAGGAAGTGAGCACTGACAGACAGACTGAAGTATTTCATATTTTCTTAGGTGGCATTTTTGTTAAAGGATTTAAATATTCTTTGGAAGTCTATATACACTTGTAGAGCTGTAGAAAAGAAAAAAATAATGACTCTGGAACAAAACTGCCTGGAGTCACATCCCAGCAAAACTCTAGCTAGCCATGTAACTATGAGCAACCGTTTATCCTATGAAGCCACTATTTCCTCATTTGTACAACAGGAATACTCATGAAACCTACCTAACATAATTATTGACAGTATAAATGAGTTAATATAGATAAAATGTTTAGACCAGATCAGATTGGTACAATGTTAACATAATCTTATCTGCTTTCCCACCTGGACACCAAGGAATTGAGAAGTGAGCAAGTGTCTTATTCATATCAGAATGCTCCATATTTGTTTGTTTGTTTTTTGTTTTGAGACGGAGTCTTGCTCTGTCGCCCAGGCTGGAGTGCAGTGGCACGATCTCGGCTCTCTGCAAAATCTGCCTCCCGGGTTCGCACCATTCTCCTGCCTCAGCCTCCCAAGTAGCTGGGACTACAGGCGCCCGCCGCCACGCCCGGCTAATTTTTTTGTATTTTTAGTAGAGACGGGGTTTCACCGTGTTAGCCAGGATGGTCTCAATCTCCTGACCTCGTGATCCGCCCACCTCGGCCTCCCAGAATGTTCCATATTTCTAAAGGATATGACATAATAATAGTAGTAACAATAGTAATAATGATAATAGAGAAAATGTATTAACGTCTTATTATAGATGTCAGTCAGTGTGATTTTATGTTACTTATGTCATTTGCCCCATCATGTTGGGGCTAGTAATATCATTATGTTCACTTTACAGATGAAGAAAGCACTGATTAAAGAGGTTTATTAGTTTGTTCAAAACCAAGTAACTTGTAATATTTCAGTCAAATTGCAGTATTCCTTAGTAACCAATTTGTTATGTTACCTTAAAACTGTCAGGAATTTGATTAAAAATGCATTAAATAAATAAGGAAACAATGCATTTTCAATTAAACATCATTTATCTTCATAATAAACTTACTTTATAGATATGTTCAGTGATGGTAATGACTTCACATTCATTTTAGCATTGGGAAATGTGTTTCTTCAGTATCTTTACAGGTGCTACAGAGCGATGGTCTCCATAAGGTAAATAAAATGTGGTACCCTGGTATCTGTTTCTTTAATTGAGCTTTTAAAATATATATCATTTGAATGAAATTATAATGATTTCATTAACCTCTTTTGCCCTTTCTCAAACATAATGACTATAAATGTGATAGGAAATTAAAACTGCCCATTGCTGGAGGAAAGCAATCAAGCCAGATTGACCAATATGCTTACACGCTTGTCTGGAAACTTTTCTCCCTTAAATAGGGAAGCTGAAAGAGGAGGATCATTATAAATATCTATTTGTGTATCTATAAAGAAATTAAATCATGCAAACTCAGCCTCAGAATTTCAATGAATCAATTTTACAGACAGAAATCTTAAAATTTTTATTTCTTAGGGATTTCCACTTTAACA
This sequence comes from Homo sapiens, assembly GCF_000001405.40. NCBI lineage: Eukaryota > Metazoa > Chordata > Mammalia > Primates > Hominidae > Homo > Homo sapiens. Next base: position 70,502 of record NW_018654711.1, read on the forward strand.
GAAATGATAAAACATCCTGGCTTATTTTATTCAGAAGGTGATGCATATAGATTCCATAATTTTCAGTGGTCACCTTAAAATGAGTTTCCAATACCAAATATTTTAGTATGGAATGACTTTTAAATCTAGGGGGAAAGAAGTCTATTAAGTACTCACAGGTGTGTAGGTCCATTTGCTGGATGCAGTACAAGCCAGCTGCTATCTAAGCTATGAGGCCTTGCACATTTAGTAACTTTGTCACCTTTAAAAATGAGTAAGTGTTAATAGATATGTTGGCATGTATTATAGGTATCACAGACAAAAAAGAAGCAATTAAATAATGTGATATGGCAAAGAAAAAAAAAACAACTAAAAAATTAGGGCCCAGAGACACACTGCTTCCAAGTTTATAAACAAAACAATCTCATTCTTTCCATCTCCATCTCCCTGTCTCTTTCTGTTGCTTTCTCTCTCTCTCTAGCACACAGACAGATACACATGCACATACACATAGAGAGGATCATAACCAATGGTTCTGAAATGATTACAAAGAACCCAAACTTAGTTTGATGCTGGTGCAGAAACTACCATCCTGTGAATCTATTTATAGGTTTAGCCTTTAGGGAAGGATAAGGATCACAGTGAAGGAAACATCATAAAATGAAAAATTTTCTTTCCAAAAGGACATTGAAAATTTTACCTTCCCTGCATTGCATGTGTCTACTTACAATGCCAAAAGCCCCCCCTCTCAAATAATTATTCATCTTTGTCATTCCCCTCCAGCATCATTCCTTCATTTTTAACCCGTTTTAGAAAGATACTCACTTTAAGAAATTATTTCTCAAAACAACTACAGCTACTGGCAAAGAAAGTGGTTAGAAAATGGAAGTGTGTTTGTGTGTGTGTGCGTGTTTTCCTTCCCCTATGTCCAATATATTTCCTCAGGTCTCTACTTTGGGACCGAGAAAGAGGAACTCTGATAATCCAATGTAATCCACCTTCCAAAGAATTGTAAACCCAGACCAAATTACAATTTCTCTTTTTTAAGACTAAATTATTTTATGTCTCTTAGGGGGAAAAAAGCAACAGGCACACATTTATTTGCATTAATATGTGATTGATTAATATCCCCACACCATTTCTGTTCATTTATACTGGAAAATAAGGTACATGTTGGCCACAGTAGATTTTCTCTTGGTAAAATTCCGAGCACTGCTCCATGTTATAAATAACAATACACAAGTAGATGCAGAACTTGTTTTCTTGCCCTAGTTACCTCCAAGTTCAAGGAGTTCTGCTAGGAAACCTGTTTTCAGTATTGCTGCCTTCAGGACCACTTCTCTGCAAGTGCTTATTCCTCATCTAATTCCTTTTTCTACAGAAGGCTTTCTAGCAACTACAAACTCTCAGTTTCTGACCTCTGCCGGTGATCTTCCAAACTTGTCACCTCCTCAGACTTTTCCACCAGCCTTTCTCCTAGGTCATCTCTACCTGCAGGATCTTGCACTCTCATCCTCAACCCCAGCGTTTTCTTCCCAGAAATACCTTCTGTTCAATCCCCAGGACAACTGCAGAAAAGTCTAGTGGCCAGGAGTCACCAAAAGACCAGAGCCCAGTACCCGGAACATAGCAGCTAATATGCCGAGAGAGAGAGAAAAGTGCCAGTGAGAATATGATTGAAAAGTATGCACACGCATTCTCCTTGAATTTTGGTCTTTGTTTTGTTCTTGTATAAATCAATGTAATAGTGCCCATTGTTCACAAGTGTATGAAGAAATGGACACTCATTTATAACAGCTAAGCAGGAAAAAAATGTTTCAAACTTTTTTCTCAAGCACAATTTAGCATTAGAAATAGAAATACATACTAGAAACCCCCTAACTGTGCAAAATACTAATCTAGACTTCCAGAAATTAATTTGAAGAAATATTTGCAGATATGTTCATATTCACCTCAAGTATACTTAGTGCAGCATTTTCAAAATAATGATATATTGTCAGTGATGTAAATACCCAACAAAGAAAAAAATGATCAGATTACTTATGCATATGCCAGACAACACACACATATCCTTTGAAAAAAATATGCAGCCACTAAAATGGCATTATAGAGGATGATTGAATGACCAGGAAATTGTTCATGATCTATAAATTGGCAAAGGCTCTTAAATTATAATATACCAATATTTGTGTGTGTGTGTGTTTGTGTGTAGAAAACTGCAATAAGGTTCACAAAAACATTAACACAATTTGTCTCTGAGGTATTGGAAATTTGATTCTTTTTTGGGTTTTTCTTTATTTCATCTAAACCTATAAATGTGATGGATAATTTTTATAAGTAGATATAATATTACTAAATATATAAATTATTTGTTGAATGAATTCATGAATTAATAAAAGAGTGATGAAATAACTAAATGAAAAATAAATGCATAGGTTTTAAACCCTCTGATCTGTGTATGATAGCCCCTTCCTTTTATTCACTTCTAAAAACACAGATGATCTCATTGTTCCACATTTCTTGTGATGTTTGCCATAACGTCAGCAATGGTGTGATATAGAAAATAGATGCCTACTATAAGTTGGACCTGCTATAAAATATCTCATTGTCATCTCATAAAAATATTTTGAACATTATATGTATATTATACTTCTATAAACAGGTTAAAAATTATCTACTGCTGTAAATTTCATACCCTCCAGTTTCATCATTTTTCTTATTACTGACCTATCTATCTATCTATCTATCATCTGTTTGTTTGTTCATTTATTAGAGACAGGGTCTCACTATGTTGCCCAGGCTTGCCTAGAACTCCTGTGCTCAAATGATCCTCCTGTCCCAGCCTTCCAAGTAGCTGGCATTACAGACTCACACCACTGTGTCCAGCTGACTTATTTTCTTTTTACAATGTAAGTTACTTCTCTTATTAATCCTCCTCCTACAAGATCTGTATTCTAATTCAGTGCCTCCCAATACAGTGGTAAAGAACAAGTTTGTTTTATTTATAGATTTATATTCAATTGCAGATCAATAATTCCATAAAATATAATAAGAATTAATCATTAGAAAAAGGAGTATTAGGCTGGGCGCAGTGGCTCACGCCTGTAATCCCAGCACTTTGGGAAGCCAAGGCAGGCAGATCACTTGAGGTCGGGAGTTCGAGACCAGCTTGACCAACCTGGATAAACCTCGTCTCTACTAAAAATACAAAATTAGCCAGGTGTGGTGGCACATGCCTGTAATCTGAGCTACTTGGGAGGCTGAGGCAGGAGAATTGCTTGAACCCGGGAGCTGGAGGGTGTGGTGAGCAGAGATCGTGCCAATGCACTCCAGCCTGGGCGACAAGAGCGAAACTCCGTCTCAAAAAAAAAAAAAAAAAAAGAAAAAGAAAAAGGAATATTAAAAAAGACATACCAAATACAAACCCAAACTTTTTCTATTGCATTTAAAACCACAAAATTCATCCCCGTAAATATCATATGAAACATTAGGAAAAAGAAAACAATTATAAAGTTTGTAAACTTTGTTCATTGAAATAATCATTATTATACTCATAATGTGATTCCTATTTTTACTAAACCAAGAGTTACAAGTCTGCATATTGTTCACATTTTGAACAAGCACCTATAGATTCATATATAATTTCTTTTTTTCTTCAACTTCTATTTTAGGTTCAGGGGTACAATTGCAGAATGTGCAGGTTTTGTTACATAGGTAAACGTGTGCCTTGGTGGTTTGCTGCACAGATCATCCCATCACCTAGGTATTTAGCCCAGCATCCATTAGCTATTCTTCTTGATGCTCTCCCATCACCCACATGCCCAACAGTCCGGTGTGTGTTGTTCGCCCCCATATGTCCATAATGTTCTCATGTTTCAGTTTCCACTTATAAGTGAGAACATGTGGTGTTTGGTTTTCCATTCCTGTGTTATTTTGCTGAGGATAATGGCTTCCAGCTCCAACCATGTCCCTGCAAAGGACATGATCTAGTTCCTTTTTATCACTGCATAGTATTCCATGGTGTATATGTACCACATTTTCTTTATCTAGTCTATCATTGATGGGCATTTGGGTTGATTCCATGTCTTTGCTATTGTGAATAGAGCTGCATGTGCATTTATGTGTATAATAGAACAGTTTCTATTCCTTTGGGTATATACCCAGTTATGGGATTGCTGGGTCAAATGGTATTTCTGCTTCTACATCTTTAAGGAATTGCCACACTGTCTTCCACAATGGTTGAACGAACTTACACTCCTACCAACAGTGTAAACGCATTCCTTTTTCTCCGCAACCTTGCCAGCATCTGTTGTTTCTGGACTTTTTAGTAATCGCCTTTCTGACTGGCATGAGACAGTATCACATTGTGGTTTTGATTTGCATTTCTCTAATGATCAGTGATGTTGACCTTTTTTCATGTGTTCGTTGGTCACATGCATATCTTCTTTTGAGAAGTGTCTCTTCATGTCCTTTGCCCACTTTTTAATGGGGTTGTTTGGTTTTTTTTTCTTGTAAATTTGTTTAAGTTCCTTGTAGACTCTGGATATTAGACCTTTGTCAGATGGATAGATTTCAAACATTTCCTCCCATTCCATAGGCCCTCTGTTCACGCTGATGATAGCTTTTTTTGCTGTGCAGAAGCTCTTTAGTTTAATTAGATCCCATTTGTCAATTTCTACTTTTGTTGCAATTGCTTTTGGCATTTTCCTCATGAAATCTTTGCCCATGTCTATGTCCTGAATGGTATTGCCTAGATTTTCAAGTTTTAAATGTAACAAATGAGTTTACTTTTTCTCATTTACTTAATCGATCTAAGTTTGATTGACTGATTTCTAAATACTTACTCTCAATTTCTTATCTAGTTGATGAACCTGTAACAAACAGCAGACAAGCATGGTCCCACTAACCTCACTTTGAGTAGCATTGTTTTAGCATTTCTGCTTTATTGTGGATTCTTTGCTCCCACCATGTCACTTTCTTTCTATACCTTTCTCTCTCAATGAAGTGCCCAAGTCATGTTCTTCTACTATGGTTGCTTGTCCATTTCTTCCCTCCACTGCTGCTACAATTGTCTCTGTCTCATATTTGTAGTATAAATGACATTTATTTACCAAGGCACAGAATAAACTGTACTCATGGGCTATTTATGGGGAAGGGAATTAACTGTCTTTCTCTCAAGGACAACAACCCGAAATGTATGTGCTATGTTCAAGAGGGCATGGCAAATGTAGGCCCTATGAAAATATGCAGAGTACTGGGTGAGCAGCAGTATTCCTTGTCTGTTGTGTTCCACTGTTTTTGTTCTAAGCACTCTGTGTGCGTTAAAGAGAACCTCAAACAAGAGTTTGTAGACAGGCACAAGATCCAGCCCTCAAAAAATAAGAAGCCATCCATGCCTAGATAAGTGAGCAGACACCCAGCTAAGCAGGATCTAGGCTCATCACAGAACTGGAGAGAAAATTACAGCTGGGATTGAGGCCTAAATAAAGACTCATCAATCTAGGAAAGGTTAGAGGAAAGAGCTGCAGCTTTGTGGGCACACACAACCCCAGAGTATCACTCAGGTGTGATTACTGGGTTAATACACTCCCAGATTTACTTTTCCCTGGGGAATAGGTAGGCTAAGTCTGCACTAGGCAAAGCTGGTGAGGTGGAGGATTATAGCTATTTTGTTTCTTAGAAATGTTGATACATTTCTTGGAAACTCAGTGTTTTCATCTGCAAAATGAAAATTAAACTAACTATCTTTCCAGTCTGAAGGATTAGTGTAAACACCAAGCAACACATGTGATATGGTTTGGCCTGTGTCCCCACCCAAATCTCGTCTTGTAGCTCCCATAATTCCCATGCATTCTGGGAGGGACCTGGTGGGAGATGATTGAATTATAGGGGTGGGTCTTTCCTGTGCTGTTCTCATGATAGTGATTGGGTCTCACGAGATCTGATAGTTTTAAAAACGGTAGTTTCTTTGCACCAGCCCTCTCTTTTTGCCTGCCACCATCCACGTAACACGTGACTTGCGCCTCCTTGCCTTCTGCTGTGATTGTAAGGCCTACCCAGCCATGTGGAACTGGAAGTCCAATTAAACCTCTTTCTTTTTTAAATTGTCCAGGCTCGGGTGTGTCTTTATCAGCAGCATGAAAATGGGCTAATTCAATATGTGAAAGAAGATGTATGCAGTTCGCTAACATATATATGTATATTTACATGCATGCGTATGCATACATGTAAGCATATGCCATTATTATGACTATAATTTGTATAACCTGAGCCATCTGACTCCCAAGCCTTTTATATTCAGTGAATATGTGTTTATTGGTCTCTTCAGTACCTATTTCTCTTGGGTAGAACTTTATATGTGTTTTAGCCAGAAGTTTGCTTCATTCCAAAAAGACATCTTTACCTTGACCCAGTTCCACTACTTCCTTTAGATGTTTAAAAACCTTTTTTAACATCTTCATCCTCAATATCATCAATTTCTATTTTATACATATAGATCGCCTTTGATATTTCTAAGTGTGATACCTTTCCTAGTTTTCCTTTTTAAGTCTTAGGCTTTATACTCTGCACTGTCATGTACTTCACTATATCCTTTTCATAATTTGCCCTTTTCTTACTTCAAAAATATTTTATCTTCAGTAAAGCACTCCCACTCCCTCATTCCTTCACATGAGCTGGTAAAATTTGAAGTTTATTTCCCAAAGCAGTGTATTGTTACAGTTCACTTTGAAACATGGAAACACAATAGTAAATTGTGTAGTTCTTCCTCAGTCAGGTATATGAGCCCTCTTTTAACTCCTTCCTACTTTTCCAGTGGAATCTGAAAAATCCAGTGCCAGAAGTGCCACATACCTGTGAGGTGAGCGTATAGAAATAAGGTACAAAAGCTGTCGCTGGAAGCCGTACAGTCAGCCTAGTGTTATTTTCCAATACCAGCTTTCCCCTTAGTTTCTTCACTTATTTTTCTTTTCCTTTTCCATATTTTATTTTATTTTGCATAATTGTCTCCTTTATAAAGTGCACTCCAATAATTCTCCTTGAGCTCGTTTCTGAATTCCACATGTCATAGTGCCACTTTTGCATCTGGTGCCCATGTTTATGATTTTCCTGCTTTGATCTGTTTAATTGTTCTTCTTCAGGTCTCTGGAGAACATTAGTTATATTTATGTACATCCTTGTGCTCTTCCTGTAATTCAAAGAGTGGTGTCATCTGCATGAAATAAAATTGATTTCACACTCAGTGTTAGCATCCTGTTTTCATTTTTGTATTTTACTTCCCTGAAAGTTTCTAAGAATCTCCTTATAAAATGTCTTTAGCCAGGCATGGTGGCATGTGCATGTGGTCCCAGGTACTGAGGCTGAGGCAGGAGGATGGCTTGAGCCCAGGAGTTTGAAGGAAGCCTGGGCAACATAGAAAGAACTTGTCTCTAAAAAAGAAAATAAATAAAATAAAATAAATAAGTAAATAAATTATTTCTGTTTATGATGGCTCACACCGGTAATCTCAACAGTTTGGGAGGCCAAGGTGGGAGGATCACTTAAGGACAGGAGTTGAGAATAGTCAGGGCAACATATTAAGACCCTGTCTCTAAAAATTAATTAATTAAAAAAATTTTAAATTAAAAAGTAAAAAATAAAATAAAATAAAAAGTAAGTCAGGGCACAGTGGCTCACACCTGTAATACCAGCATTTTGGGAGGTTGAGATAGGCGGATTATTTGAGGTTACAAGTTTGAGACCAGCCTGGCCAATATGGTGAAACCCCGTTTCTTCTAAAAATACAAAAATTAGCCAGGCATGGTGGCTCATGCCTGTAGTCCCAGCTACTCAGGAGCCTGAGGCAGCAGAATCACTGAACCCAGGAGCAGAGGTTGCAGTGAGCCAAGATCGCGCCACTGCACTCCAGCCTGGGTGACAGAGAGAGACTCCATCTCAAAACTAACTAACTAACTAACTAAATAAATAAATAAATAAATAAATAAATAAATAAAGCCAGGTATTGTGGCATGCATCTGTAGTCCCAGCTTCTCGACAGGCTGAGGCATGAGGATTGCTTGAGCCTGGGGGGTCGCACCACTGCCTTCCAGCCTGAGTGACAAAGAAACACCCTATCTCAAAATAATAATAATAAAAAAATAACTTCTTAGAAAGAGTTTTCAGATCATACACACACAGAGAAGCTGGAAAAGCAGTTTTGTCTTATTTATCCAGCACCTCGAAGTATACAGTCTTCACACACTCTCTCCCACCACTGAGTATGGGCTGCGGATGGTGGTGATGGGAAATGTCTTCACATATTTCAACAATGTTCAGACAGATGGTCTTGAAGAGAAACTGTTTGTGTTGTTGTTTTTCTGATCAAACATTTGCTTCATTGAAATAAAATTAATGTTCTTCCCACTTTCCTACTTCAGCATGCTGTCTCTTTAGCCTTCCTAAGCCAACAGATTTTTTCCCTCCTGCCACAACACCTATCACATGTCTTCTATGCTCCGCTTCAACAAATCTTGAAATCAATGTCTACTTTCATAGATTTCCAACTTTTAAAACACATCTTTCAATTCTTAAAAAATAACCAACTAGAGATTCCATTGTAATGAGTATTTTCAAATATTTTCATAATTAATATCTAAGAATGTGCTTAATTTGACTGCAATATGTCATTAAAGCACTTTCTTCTTTGAGTTCCTAACTACTAGAGCTGTGATCGTTTCCAATAAATCACTTCCTTATTCTTTTGTTGGCACCCTGCATCAGCTCAGATTCCTTCTCCTTTCTTGTTTCTCAAGTTATTTTATAAATATCACTTTCATTATTCAGACAACACAAGTGTTGCCATTGTTTTTCTTCAGTGCCAACTTAACCTGCGCCTTTTTTGCTTTTTATTCTGTCTAATTTCCTTGTGGAACCTCAGGTGTCTGTGGGAAGTGCTTTTACTTTTGTCTGGCATCCTCTCTTCTCTCATCACTCTGACTATCTTTACAGACCTGTTATTTCTGTATAGATTTCTACTTCCAAGTCTTCACCATGGTTTTCTGTCTGTGTACTCCTTTAAACATTTCTGCAGCTATTTTGCTCTTTAAATCTGTTGGCTTGCTTCCTTCCCTGGGGAATTTTCTTTATATCATTTTTTAAACATGAACCACCACTTTGTGACATCTGGAAAGGTGAGAAGGGATTCTCTACCCTTGATTATCTTTCTTATATTTTTTAATTTCCTCTTGTTCTCATAGGGACATTCTTAACCTCCAAAAAGCTCTACCAAATTTTGCAGTTTTGAGAAATTAATTTCAGCTATTACCATAGCAGGTTCAGGAAAGCCAACATCTTTCACGTTACATTATACAACCTTTATTTTTCCTTGTATGAAAGTACTATCAGTTCCTCTGACACACTTTTCCTAGGATTTTTTCATAAATATTTACAACTATGAGCCTGTATATTTAAATTAGTATCTTTCAATCTGGTAACACAGAAAGGGTTACACATTAGACTTTATTGGCAAGTATTTGCAAATTAGGCAGACCTCATATCCTAGCCACTTATAAACTGCATGATTCTGTATCTCATTTTTCTCATGGAGAAATAGAGATAATATTAACTTGGTTTTTGCTAATTGTTGTTAGCTCTGTAGTTCTATCACATTTCAGACCTATTTATTGCATGTGATATTTTTCACAAGATGCTTAAATCTCTGACTTTTAATTTCCTTATCTGTAAAATAAAAATAATAATACTTCCCCTTACAGAAGATGTTGTATATTTTAGCAACAATGATTATAAAGCATCTGATATTCAATAAATAATGGTATTGTCAATGTTGATGACTATAATTATCATGATTCATCTTTCAATGTTTATTCTGAGAGCTAAAATGATCTCTTAATATTTGTTTTTTTAAAACATGCTGAGAAGCTATTATATGCTTAAATATATTTGTATTTGTTTTAAATGAGAGCTGAGGTTACTTTAATTTCCCATGTTTATTTCTCTCTCTATTTCTCCTTTCCAGTTACACATTGTACAGTTTGAATGCCATATCCGGAATCTCCATAGTATCCACGCCAACAAGCCAGTGCTCAGAGCCCTGAATACAGACATTTACACACGGTAGATCTTCCCCTATAGATTCAGTATTGAGGTTTTGAACTAATATGTACAGTTTCTAAAATTCCAATTTCCACCAACATTATTTTTCCTTTATGTAACATTTACTGAGTGTCCAAATTATGCCAGGCAATATGCTGGCCTCTAGGAGTACAAAGGTGAAGATAATGTCCTTGCCCAAAATGATTTTACAAAGTGGTGGGAGGTACCACCACATAAAACAGAGATTTACAGTACAAAGTGATTTTATCATATCTGTCAAGGTTCTTTGATCTCCTAGTTTTCAGTCTACCTTTTATTCTTCCCAAATCTATCTTTTAACTTTTTTTCAAATCCTATGTTAATTCTTGCTTTCTTCTAGGATTTGGATTAAAATTACAAGAAGCCATAGTCTTCCCCTACTCACTTTAATTTTCTAACAGAAATCTTTACTTATGTCCCTGTGAGTCCTTCAAACAACAAAAAAGAAACTCTTCACACAAAAAAAGAGTAGAGTAGAATACAATAAATTATTCTATACACATTACATAGATCCAACAATTATAATTATTTAATCATATATGCTTCATACAAATCCCAGGCATTATTTTACTCCTAAATACATTATTTGTATTTCTCACAAATAAATACATTCTCCTAACTCTAATACCATTACCCACCTACAAAAAATTTTACAATTAATTTTTCCAGTCATCTATTATCCATTAAAACATCCATTTCATACTTATGAAACAAATGCCATGTTATGTTCATGAATCTCTGGGTCAGAAATTTGGGCAGTGCTCCACTAAGTGATTCTTTTGCTCTCTATGGTTACTCAATGGTACTCACCTGGTGATGAGCCAGTCTAGATTATTCAAGACTGACTTATATGCACCCTGCTTTAGGTGGGATGATCTGGGCTGTTGAATGGAGTGTCTACGTGTATACTCACCAGCATGACAGTCTCGAGTAGTTGAACTTCCTAGATAAAGCTTGGCCTCTCATGAGTGAGTAACCCAAGATTACTAGCCAAAGAATGTATGACTTTTAATGACCTAACTTCAGAAGTCATTGAAAGCAGCCACAAGTCTGTCTACATGCAAGGAGAAGAGTTAGTATGGAAGGAATGTAAAATAAATTTGAGGACATGTCTTGAAAAAGCAGCAGTCTTCAATATCATATAATACTAATTTCATGTTTTAAAATTTCTCAATTTTCTCAAAAATATCTCTTTATACTTGATGTTCGAATCAGGCTCCATATAAGTTCTACATATTGCATTTGGTTGTTACTTTTCTTTAGTCTTTTTTAAGCCTTTAAATTCTAAAGGCTGATTAGATTTACATTAGCATTCTGGAAGAATCATTTTTGAAGTGGTCTTCTAGGTAGCATGTTGCATCACAATGAGACACATAGTGTCTGGCTGTCACATTATTAGTGATTGACCAGTTATTTCAGGAAGTGGCAGCTTGTTCCCTCCATTGTGAACTCATTGTTGGTTGGTTGGTGTTGGTTTACATCTTGAAATCAGTAAATAATCCTTGGGCTGAAACTTATGATCTTTGAGAGTAAGCACCCCCTATCAACTTTTTAAAAAAATGTTTTTCTTAAGTAGTTTATTATTCTTGCTTAATACAATCATTAAGTAGTGGTGGCAAAATGGTGACTTTCTGTGTTTCCAATATATGTATTAATATTAACTTGAATTCACATATAAAAAAGAATTTTTTATCAAACAAGGTTATTCTGTCAGTTAAAATACACTTCTTAGAGAAAAAAAGAAGAAAACATTTAATGTTTTTTCTTCATTACTGATCTTCTGAGTAAAGTAACTAATGTACTCACTATCCTCAATGATAAAAAGATTTACCGTTTTCAGTTTTTTATATTTTTGAAAATTATTTTTAGCTACGTGGATATAAAATATGTAATTAATAGTTACCACTTATGATTATTAAAATTAATTACAATTATTATTTTTGATTCTTAAATGATTACATCTTTGGCATCAAGATCCCCTTAGAGTTGTCACTGTGATTTTTCGGCATAACAACATTAGCTTATGATAGCTTTCTTGACTTCTAGCACAGAAAACTATTCCACAATCTTTTTGTACATATCCTGCCCTAGACCCAGAACAAGTTATTTTTCCAAGCAGCCCTAATTACTTTTAGTAAGAAATAATATTTAGAGAACATGATGTGTACAGGTGAGTGCTCAGAGCTACTGAGTTGTCATTGCTTCTAGGCATTTTCAGTGGACAGAGATGGGGAAAATTTTTTAACAACAACAGCAACAAAAACTATGAGTTTATACTTAACATTAAATTCAATATTATAGTTTTTCCTTAACTTTTTAAAATTTTATAATTTTAACTCCTTTCTCCTACAAGAAAAATTTTAAAAATACAAACTTTTATTTACTTTATTCTACAACACATAAAATAACATTTAAATAACCATAGTGGTGTCCTAACTAGAGCAATAAAGCTGAATAAAGGTTTGCCTTAGGTTTCCTTTGTACCTATCCCCTTTAAGGATGTACTGCCACAATACTATGTTCTGAATCATGTTGAAATTATTAATTTTTGCCTGTGTGGTTAATCACCAACTTGATATGTTCATTTGTTTTAGTTTGATCTGAATTTTTAAGACTTGCACTTTTATGTAATTTATTTTTAATATATACAAATCTTGCGTGTCTTAAGTCAGAATTAATAACAACATATGCTCAGAAACATCTCACTTTCATTCTTATCCTCTCCCTCTGTTCCCTGCCACCTGTATAAACAAACGTTTTTATTAGTTTTCATTTTGGCCTTCCAGTTTTGTTTTGTTTTGTTTTGTTTTTTACAAATATAAGCACAAATGTTACTATACTATATTTAATACTTTGCTTCCTATTTTTGTTTCCCCTGTGGGCACCAGACATAGCTGTATATTTATTTATTTGTGAAATTTCTTTACTGTCCTCTTTCAGAAGAAGGAATAATTAATGGTTAAAATTCTAAAATAAAAGTAAATGATAAGTTGAACAGAGAAGTTACTTTGTTGTTACTGAGAATAACGAGTGATGGAGATACCTGGGTAGGATGTTCTGGAAAGATACCTATGGGATTATGATATGAATCAGGTGAGAGGAGGGATGAGATAAATCCAGCTGTGTAGAAAGCAGACAGGGGCATATGTTTGACACATTCTAGAAACTGAGGGCAGGCCAGTGAATTTGAAATTTGTAGCATGGAAGCAAAGAGTTATAGTAGGACGTTGGAGAAATAGACAACTTGCAGACCAACAAAATTAATTTTTAAAAATTTAAATATGATGGAAAGCCACAGAATGGGTTAGGATGGAGAAGTAACAGAATTTCATCCTTAGCTAGTTTGCTTTGTCAGCACAGTGCTACAAAATCACTTTTGTCCTCCTCTCAATGCTTTAACTTCTTTGAAGCTTTCTGTAATACAAAGGCATTTGATCTCCCCTTTTATGTGTTACTACTTATGATTTTTACCATTTTCTCTTGTAATTTTTTGTTCATTTTGACTGTTATCACTTGCACCTATGAGTACTTTGAGGGGATAGTGTAGTATTTATCTTTGAATCTACAATGGATAACAGATGCATAACACATGTGGTACTCCAAGGAATTTTTAAAAATAAATAAATCAAAAGATGATACTAAAGTAAATTTTCCTCACAGACACTTTTTCTTTTTTTTTTTTTTGAGACAGAGTTTTGCTCTTGTTGCCCAGTCTGGAATGCAATGGCCCGATCTCGGCTCACTGCAACCTCCGCCTCCTGGGATCAAGTGATTCTCCTGCCTCAGCATCCTGAGTAGCTGGGATTACAGGCATGTGCCATCACATCTGGCTAATTTTGTATTTTTGGTAGAGACAGGGTTTCTCTATGTTGGTCAGGCTGGTCTCAAACTCCCGAACAGAGTTGATCCACCCGCCTTGGCCTCCCAGAGTGCTGGGATTACAGGCATGAGCCACCTTGCCTGGCATAGACACTTAATTTTTAAAATTGCATTCAAAATTTTTCTTTTAAAAATTTTATTGTCAAAAATATTTGTAGAAGGTAATTTAGTTCTTTTGGAAACTCTAACCTACATTTTTACCACCAAATTCAAATCAGTTTTATACAAAATCTACCCACCCTCATGAAGTCATCTTGAAAACCATTATTCCTTTTGCTTCTATATCATTTTGTGGGAGAATTCTTATTCAGTTTTACCTGGTTTTAAAGTTATAAGGGAGTATGGGGTGTGTGTGTGTTTACATGTGTCACATTTTTTACTAAGTAAAGTCCCAGAAGACGAGAACCACTTCTCCTTTAACAAATTGTATTTAATAATGCATGACACATGCATATAGCAAATTAAGCTTTGAGTAATTTTATTTCACAGAATGAATTTCAAAAACCAGATGAGTTTTGCTGGGTGTTTCAAGATGGCCAAACAGGAACAGCTCCAGTCTACAGCTCCCAGCGTGATCAATGCAGAAGAAAGGAGATTTCTGCATTTCCAACTGGGGTACTTGGTTCATCTCATTGGGACTGGTTGGACAGTGGGTGCAGCCCACAAAGGGTGAGCCGAAGCAGGGCAGGGAAGCACAAGGGGTCAGGGGATTTCCCTTTCCTAGCAAAGGGAAGCTGTGACAGACTACCTGGAAAAACGGGGCACTCTCGCCCAAATACGATGCTTTTCCCAAAGTCTTAGCAACCGACAGACGAGGTGATTCTCTCCAGTTCCTGGCTTAGCAGGTTCCGCACTCACGGAGTCTTGCTCACTGCTAGTACAGCAGTCTGAGTTCAATCTGCGAGGTGGCAGCCTGGCAGGGGGAGGAGCATATGCCATTGCCAAGGCTTGAGTAGGTAAACAAAGCAGCTGGAAGGTCGAACTGGGCAGAACCCACTGCAGCTCAACAAGGCCAACTACCTCTACACTCCACCTCTGCGGGCAGGGCATAGCAGAACAGAAAAGCAGGCAACTTCTGCAGACTTAAACGTCCCTGTCTGACAGCTCTGAAGAGAGTAGTCATTCTCCCAGCAGGGCGTTTGAGCTCTGAGGACAGACAGACTGCTGCCTCAAGTGGGTCCCTGAGCCCCGTGCAGCCAAACTGGGAGACACCTGCCAGTTGGAGTGGACAGACACCTCATATAGGCAGCTGCCTCTCTGGGACAAAGCTTCCAGAGGAAGGATCAGGCAGCAATATTTGCTGTTCTGCGATATTTGCTGTTGGGCAGCCTCCACTGGTGATACCCTGGCAAACAGGGTCTGGAGTGGAACTCCAGTAAACTCCAACAGACCTGCAGCTGAGGGACCTGCAGCTGAGGGACCTGACTGTTAGAAGGAAAACTAACAAACAGAAAGGAATAGCATCAACATCAACAAAAAGGACATCTACAACAAAACACCTTTGTGACAGTGTAGGTCATCAACATCAAAGACCAAAGGTAGATAAAAACCACAAAGATGGGGAGAAACCAGAGCAGAAAAGCTGAAAATTCTAAAAAGCAGAGCACTTATTCTCCTCCAAAGGATTGCAGCTCCTCACCAGCAACGGAACAAAGCTGGACAGAGAATGACTTTGAAGAGTTGACAGAAGTAGGCTTCAGAAGGTCAGTAATAAACTTCTCTGAGCCAAAGGAGGATGTTTGAACCCATTGCAAGGAAGCTAAAAACCTTGAAAAAAGATTAGATGAATGGCTAAGTACTATAAACAGTGTAGAGAAGACCTTAAATGACCTGATGGAGCTGAAAACAATGGCACGAGAACTTCGTGACACATGCACAAGCTGCAATAGCCAATTCGATCAAGTGGAAGAAAGGGTATCAGTGATTGAAGATCAAATTTATGAAATAAAGTGAGAAAACAAGGTTAGAGAAAAAAAGTGAAAAGAAACAAACAAAGCCTCCAAGAAGTATGGGACTATGGGAAAAGACCAAATCTACGTTTGAGTGGTGTACATGAAAACAATGGGGAGAATGGAACCAAGTTGGAAAACACTCTTCAGGATATTGTCCAGAAGAACTTCCCTAACCTAGCTACATTCCCTAACCTAGGCCAACATTCAAATTCAGGAAATACACAGAACACCACAAAGATACTCCTCGAAAAGGTCAATGCCAAGACATGATTGTCAGATTCAACAAGGTGGAAATGAAGGAAAAAGTGTTAAGAGCAACCAGAGAGAAAGGTCGAGTTACCCACAAAGGGAAGCCCATCAGACTAACAGGGGCTCTATCAGGAGAAACCCTACAAGCCAGAAGAGAGGGGGGGCCAATATTCAACATCCTTAAAGAAAAGAATTTTCAACCCATAATTTCATATCCAGCCAGACTAAGCTTCATAAGTGAAGGAAAATAAAATCCTTTAAAGGTAAGCAAATACTGAGAGATTCTGTCACCACCAGGTGTGCCTTAAAAGGGCTCCAGAAGGAAGCACTAAACATGGAAAGAAACAACCAGTACCAGCCACTGCAAAAACATGCCAAATTGTAAAGACCACCAATGCTAGGAAGAAACTGCATCAATTAACAGGCAAAATAACCAGCAAACATCATAATGATAGTATAAAATTCACACATAATATTATTAACCTTAAATGTAAATGGGCTAAATGCCCCCAATTAAAAGACACAGACTGGGAAATTGGATAAGGAGTCAAGACCCATCAGTGTGCTATATTCAGGAGAACAATCTTACGTGCAAAGATGCACATAGCCTCAAAATAAAGAGATAGAGGAAGATTTACCAAGCAAATGGAAAGCAAAAAAAGCAGAGGTTGCAATCCTAGTCTCTGATAAAACAGACTTTAGACCAACAAAGATCAAAAGAGACAAAGAAGGCCATTACATAATGGTAAAGTGATTAATTCAACAAGAAGAGCTAACTATCCTAAATATATATGAACCCAATACAGGAGCACCCAGATTCATAAAGCAAGTCCTTAGAGACCTACAAAGAGACTGAGACTCCCACACAATAATAATGGGAGACTTTAACACCCCACTGTCCATATTAGACAGATAAACAAGACAAAAGGTTAACAAGGATATCCAGGACCTGAACTCAGCTCTGCAACAAGCAGACCTAATAGACATCTACAGAACGCTCCACCACAAATCAACAGAATATTCATTCTTCTCAGCACCACATCACACATATTCTAAAACTGACCACACAATTGGAAGTAAAGCACTCCTCAGCAAATATAAAAGAACAGAAACCACAACAAACTGTCTCTCACACCACAGTGCAATCAAATTAGAACTCAGGATTAATAAAATCTCTCAAAACCACACAACTACATGGAGACTGAACAAGTTGCTCCTAAAAGAATACTGAGTAAATAATGAAATGAAGGCAGAAATAAGGATGTTCTTTGAAACCAATGAGAACAAAGACACAACGTACCAAAATATCTGGGACACATTTAAAGCAGAGTGTCAAGGGAAATTTATAGCACTAAATGCCCACAAGAGAAAGCAGGAAGGATCTAAAATTGACAACTTAACATCACAATTAAAAGAAGTATAGAAGCAAGAGCAAACAAATTCAAAAGCTAGCAGAAGGCAAGAAATAACTAAGATCAGAGCAGAACTAAAAGAGATAGAGACATAAAATCCTTCAAAAAATCAAGGAAACCAGGAGCTGGTTTTTTGAAAAGATCAACAAAATAGATAGAGTGCTAGCAAGACTAATAAAGAAGAAAAGAGGGAAGAATCAATAGACACAATAAAAAATGATAAAGAGGATATCACCACTAATCCCACAGAAATACAAACTACCGTGAGAGAATACTATAAACACTTCCATGCAAATAAACTAGAAAATCTAGAAGAAATGGAGAAATTCCTGGACACATACACCCTCCCAAGACTAAACCAGGAAGAAGTTGAGTCTCTGAATAGACCAATAACAGGCTCTGAAATAGAGGCAATAATTAATAGCCTAACAAGCAAAAAAAGTCCAGGAACAGACAGATTAACAGCCGATTCTACCAGAGGTATAAAGAGGAGCTGGTACCATGCCTTCTGAAACTATTCCAATTAATAGAAAAAGAGGGAATCCTCCCTAACTTATGTTACGAGGCCAACATCATCCTGAGACCAAAGCCTGGCAGAGACACAATAAAAAAGAGAATTTTGGACCAATATCCCTGATGAACATCAGTGCAAAAATCCTTAATAAAATACTGGCAAACCAAATCCAGCAGTGCATCAAAAAGCTTATCCAATACGATCAAGTCGGCTTCATCCATCGGATGCAAGGCTGGTTCAACATACACAAATCAATAAATGTAATCCATCACATAAACAGGCCCAATGACAGAAACCACATGATAATCTCAATAGATGCAGAAAAGGCCTTCGACAAAATTCAACAGCCCTTCATGTTAAAAACTCTCAATAAACTAGGTATTGATGCAATGTATCTCAAAATAAGAAGAGCTATTTATGACAAACCCACAGCCAATATCATATTGAATGGGCAACAAGTGGAAGCATTCCCTTTGAAAACCGGCACAAGACAAGGATGCCCTCTCTCACCACTCCTACTCAACATAGTGTTGGCAGTTCTAGCCAGGGCAATCAGGCAAGAGAAAGAAACAAAGGTATTCAATTAGGAAAACAGGAAGTCAAATTGTCCCTGTTTGCAGATGACATGATTGTATCCTTAGAAAACCCCATCATCTCAGCCCAAAATATCCTTAAGCTGATAAGCAACTTCAGCAAAGTCTCAGGATACAAAATCAAGTGCAAAAATCACAAGCATTCCTATACATGAATAACAGACAAACAGAGAGCCAAATCATGAGTAAACTCCCATTCACAATTGCTTCAAAGAGAATAAAATACCTAGGAATCCAACTTACAAGGGATGTGAAGGACCTCTTCAAGGAGAACTACAAACCACTGCTCTATGAAATAAAAGAGGACACAAACAAATGGAAAAATATTCCATGCTCATGGCTAGGAAGAATCAATATCATGAAAATGGCCATACTGCCCAAAGTAATTTATATATCCAATGCCATCCCCATCAAGCCACCAATGACTTTCTTCACAGAATTGGAAAAAACTACTTTAAAGTTCATATGTAACCAAAAAGTAGCCTGCATTGCCAAGACAATCCTAAGCCAAAAGAACAAAGCTGGAGGCATCACACTACCTGACTTTAAACTATACTACAATGCTATAGTAACCAAAACTGTATGGTACTGGTACCAAAACAGATATATAGAACAATAGAACAGAACAGCGGCCTCAGAAATAACACCACACATCTACAACCATCTGATCTTTGACAAACCTGACAAAAACAAGAAATGGGGAAAGGATTCCCTATTTAATAAGTGGTGCTGGGAAAACTGGCTAGCTATATGTAGAAAACTGAAACTGGATCCCTTCCTTACACCTTATACAAAAATTAAGTCAAGATGGATTAAAGACTTAAATGTTAGACCTAAAACCATAAAAACCCTAGAAGAAAACCTAGGCAATACCATTCAGGACATAGGCATGGGGAAGGACTTCATGTCTAGAACACCAAAAGCAATGGCAACAAAAGCCAAAATAGACAAATGGGATCTAATTAAACTAAAGAGCTTCTGCACAGTAAAAGAAACTATCATCACAGTGAACAGGCAACCAACAGAATGGGAGAAAATTTTTGCAATCTACCCATCTGACAAATGGCTAATATCCAGAATCCACAAAGAACTCAAAGAAATTTTTACAAGAAAAAAACAAACAATCCCATCAAATAGTAGGCAAATGATATGAACAGACACTTCTCAAAAGAAGACATCTATGATGCCAACAGACACATGAAAAAATGCTCATCACCACTGGTCATCAGAGAAATGCAAATCAAATCCACAATGAGATACCATCTCATGCCAGTTAGAATGACAATCATTAAAAAGTCAGGAAACAGCAGATGCTAGAGAGGATGTGGAGAAATAGGAATGCTTTTACACTGTCAGTGGGAGTGTAAATTAGTTCAACCATTGTGGAAGACAGTGTGGCAATTCCTCAAAGAACTAGAACTAGAATTACCATTTGACTGAGTAATCCCATTACTGGGTATACCCCAGGGATTATAAATGATGCTACTAGAAAGACACATGCACATGTATGTTTATTGCAGCACTATTCACAACAGCAAAGACTTGGAACCAACCCAAATGTCCATGAATGATAGACTGGATTAAGAAAATGTGGCACATATACACCACGGAATACTATGCAGCCATAAAAAAGGATAAGTGCATGTCCTATGTAGGGACATGGATGAAGCTGGAAACCATCACTCTCAGTAAACTATCACAAGGACAGAAAACCAAACACCGCATGTTCTCACTCATAGGTGGGAATTGAACAATGAGATCACTTGGACACAGGGCGGGGAACATCACTCACCAGGGCCTGTTGGGGGATGGGGGCCTGGGGGAGGGATAGCATTAGGAGAAATCCCTAATGTAAATGATTAGTTGATGGGTGCAGCAAACCAACATGGCACATGTATACCTATGTATCAAACTTGCACATTGTGCACATGTACCCTAGATCTTAAAGTATAATAACAAATAAAATTAATAAATAAATAATCAAATGAGTTAATTCCATTCTTTACCCTCAGTCTTCCTTGATTTCTTCCATCCTGTTTTATTAATCAAACTAACCCTATCATCTGACCAAAGCAGCCTTAATATTCTCTTTAGCTTGTCTGAACTTTGTAGAGGGGTTTTTTTTGTTCCTGATTATAGGTCCCTGATCTGCTTTTTTAGAGCATCTACTTCACAAAACTTGTAATTATTAATTCTACCTCTGCTTCTTTGAAATGTAAATCTTCTCCCAGACTCTTGACAATTTTACAACACAGAAATGTCTTTCTGAAGGACTTTCGTCAAGCCATTCCTTTGAAACGCAATGATCAAGAAAGATAATACCCATCTCCTAGTCTCAGTAGGAGGGTAGGAACCTAATTTCAATAAAGTATAATTAGCAAACACAGCCTAAACACATTGATCAACCTCCCATTAAAATTTTCCAGTATTTTTCTACCAGATCACCTATTGCTTAAAACCCTCCTGTCTTTTGTTTCCACAGAGTTGAGTTCAATCTCTCCTCTCTATTGCAATAGTCTTGAATAAAATCTTCCTTGCCTCTGAACTCTCTCTGATAAAATTTGTATTTGATACATCCCTCTTGTAAATTTCCATTGTGGGTGACTATTTTCCTCTTGTTGGCTGATACGGGAATAGGCAGATATATTGAGGGACTACAGATTGGATCTAGTGTATTGAATCTAGTGTATTTTTTAAATTGGATCTAGTGTATTCAAACTCCAAAAGATAGTTCATTTATTATTTAGTCCTTTCTGCGTATGTGGTCAAACAGGTTTTGAATGATTTCTGCCTGTATCATGGGCATAGTGGCTCTTTCTTATCTTCTACTTAGACTTTTGACAGCTTTACAGAAGTCCATATGGCCACCAGATTTTGCCAACAAATTTGTGCTGCACCATGGGTAGCATGGTTTACCTTTTCTCTTCTACTTATCTATTTAATGCTTTAAATCTGGGTCATCTACTGTGGTAAAGTGGTTGCCATATGGACTCCCTTCTGGAGGTACCACATTTAAAAAATAATTTTATATAAAATTAAGGAAGGGACAGAAAGTTTCTTATCTTCATTTAGCAGACGAGGCTGCAGTAAAGATAACCTAAGAGACTTGGTCAAGGTAGAGCAAAGATTAGCATCATGTGTCCTATTCTGGATCTTTAAACAAAGTAATTTTCTGTCCCCTCTGATAGAGTTGCTACAGAGGAGAGAGCTCCTTCAGCATAACATGCTTTCAGGAGAAAATTTGTTCAAACTCCCTTCAGGAAAAACAAATTTCCCAGACTGATGGTAAATACTATAACGGCATTGATGTAATTGACTGATTTTTTAATTCTAATATATAAACTTTAAAATACTGAAAATCAAGGTACTTTTGAAATGAATCCATCATTTGTTTAATCTTTAATAAAGACTAATAAATACACAGTGGAAGAAAAATAACACAAAATTGTCTGAAAACTACAGAGGTCTCTATTGCTCTTACTTTGTTTTTAATTGCAAACAGAACAGGAATAAACAAATGCAAATTTGGACATTAGAACATGTCCAACTATAGAAACATGAAATAAATAAATGAACTCCGTACAAAAAACAGGCTGAAAATGGTTTACATGATAAATGATATGCTAAAGAAATAAGGACAAAAATCATTCTGTAGCTGTGTATTAGTGAGAGTTAATTTTCTCTGTAAGATCAGAGGAAGAAAACAGTGGATCTTCAAAGTTAACATCCCTTCTTTTTTAATTTTCTCTTTAGATTATCCTCGATACTTGGATAATGTCCATATATGGTGAGTTTGTTAAATAATATGCTTTCCTCATCTCTGGAAAAACTACATAATGAATCTTTATTCTGATACTGCTGTCATTAGGTGTATTATCTTTCTTGTGCTTAACCTATAGATGAACACTTTTCCACCCCTTTTGTTTTGTTTTCTTGTGGATTCTCCTTTACATATATTTTGAATAGGTAATGCAGTCATAAATATGGTGAATGATTGCTTAGGATACTAATCATTTCCTCCTCCACGTGATTGAGAGTAGAACTACATTTCTCCTCCCAACAGGTGCTGATTTTGGCCATGTAACTTTATTTTATGTTATGGTGAGTAGATTAAATCTCTGAAATTTTAGGCTTTGTCATGTCACTTGCTTTAATCAAATAAATATTTACTGGTGTGACACAAGCAAACACCTGAAGCTTACTGGCACGATGAGGTATTGATTCATGTTTCTGGCATCACCACAGGCAGATAATGTGCTGGCTAGCCTGGCTGTCTACGAAAAATAAAAAAAAAAAAACACGGGGAATATACTTAAACCCAACCTGAATCTTGGACTCAAGCCTAACTCTGCCCAGCTTAGATCAATTGAACTGCAGCCAAACCAGAGGTACCTGAAATAGAATAAATGATCATTGATTTAAGCCATTAAATTTAGGAGTGGTTTGTTATTCAGCCTTATGTGTAGCTAACCACTAGACAACAGTGTACACGTTCAAAATATATAGTAAAAGAAATTATTATTCTTCCTCCTTTTCTAACCAACCACATTTTTGCCCAGAATGAAATATATTTTATATATATATAAAATCAATTGCTTAAATATTCTTCAAAACATGCATACACAAGTAAACATATATTTACAAACAGACATAAATCCATCTCAAAAAAGATCATATATCACACATACAATTCTGTTTCATTTTTTTCACTTAATTTGCCTTCAGAATACTTCTATATTGGTATGAAAATATCTGCCTCATTCTTTGTAATGCCTCAATTACATTCCCTTTATAAAACTGTCATAACATGTTAAAGTAGCCTTCATTTTTAGACATTATAGATTCTTCCTGAACTTTTCACTCTCCTCCATTTTGAAGAATCTTCATGCTATTATGAGTACTTGATTTGAAAGTTTTATCTCCTATTATTACTTTTTCAATAGCAGTTAAAGTTAGTACATGTTTATCATTTAGCAAGGGCTGCTTAACTACACTATCTCATTTAATCTTCACACTAATCTTGTCAGACAAATATAACCATAACATCACAATTTTACTGAAGTTGAAAAAGTTAAGAGTTCACCCCACTCACAGATGATATGACTGAGCTTTCAAATTCAGGCTCTCCATTTTACAATATTGATTGACCCATTATAGATGTGTTGAAAATGCACAGGTTTCAATGCTTGCTAACCCAAATTGTATTATTTCATGTCAAATAAAGGAACATTCTCTTTCTACAGATGGGGCAGAAGTAGAGATTAAATAGAGAAATAATAAAATATTATGCATTCATTTACTCAATACCTATTTATTGCACATTTAGTACCTACAAAGCACTGTACTATGCAATGTAGCTAGCCTAGAATACATATTTGAAAATAAACACAAATTTTATGTTTATTCGTGTGTAAAATGTAACAGAATATGGCACCCCAAAATACACTACTTTGGCATAAGATTTATTTTGAGCTACAGGCAATTAAGATGAAGCTGATACAGAAAAAACTTTTCTGCCTTCCCCTTTGTGCCAAAAGCAATACATAAATTTGTAAAGGTATCTTCTCATCACTCTCTACCAGGAAAGATGAAGTTAATCACTAGAGGCAACTCTAGATGCTTATCAGCCAAAAGATGGCATACAGAGGATTATATAGAGGAATCTATTTAACAAACCTTACTAACCAGCCCTTGTCTAACATTGGCTCTCCAAAATATTTACCTTCCCACAATTTGCCACATCTAGAAGCTCCAAGTCATCTTCTTTTTCTTGTCATTTTTGTACAAATTATTGTTCTCTGCTAAAATGCTATATAAGCTCAAGTTCTAACCATGCCATGAAGTTACTCATCACTGAATGTCCTCATGTATATGCACAATGTATGTGTTAATAAACTTTTGTCTGTTTTTCTCCTGTTATTATCTTTTTGGCCAATCTAATTTAAAAAAATTTTAATTGATACATGATTGTACATACTTATGGAATACAATGACATTTTGATACATGTATACAATGTGTAATGAGCAAACTAGGGTATGTAGGATATCCATCACCTCAAGCATTTACCATATATTTGGGTTGAGAAAAATTCAAATTTTCTCTTATACCTATATTGAAATATAAAATAAATTGTTGTTAACTATAGTCACAGTACTGTACTTTTGAACACTAGAACATATTCCCTCTGTCTGGTTGTATGTTTGTGCACATTATGTACCCGCTCTTCATTCTCCCTGGCCCTACTCAGCCACTGGAAGCTCTTCTACTCCACTTCCATGGGATCAAATATTTAGCTCCTATATACATGAGTGAGAATATATGATATTTGTCTTTCTGTACTTGGGTTAACTCACTTAATAATATGACTTCCAGTTCCATTCATATTGTGGCAAATGATTGGATTTTATTCTTTTTAATGGCTGAATAGTATGTAATTGTGCACATATGCCACATTTTATTTATCCATTTAACTGGTAATGGACATAAGTTGATTCTATACCTTGGCTATTGTGAATAATGCTGCAATAAATATGGAGGTACAGGTAACCTTTTGATTTACTAATTCTGTTCCTTTGGAGAAATACCCAGTACTGAGATTGCTGGAAGATATAATTGTTTACTTTTAGTTTTTTGAGAAACCTCCAAACTTTTCTTCATAATGTCTGTACTAATTCTCATTCTCACCAACAATGTATGAGTTCCCTTTACTTGATATTCTTGGCAACATTTGCTATTGTCTGTCTTTTTGGTAATAGTCATTTTAACTGGAGAGAGATGATATCTCATTAGGGTTTTGTTTTGCATTTCCATGATGGTTAGTGATACTGAGCATTTTTTTATATATATTTTGGCCATTTGTACATCTTCTGAAAAATGTGTATTCACATGGGCTTTGTCCAATTTTTGGAATTTTTTTTCTATTCAATTGTCTCTATTCTTTGTATATTTTGGATATTAGTCCCTTATTGAATGGATAGCTTGCAAATACTTTCACCCATTCAACAAGTTGTCTCTTTCCTCTGCTGACTGTCACTTTTGATATGAAGAACCTTTTTAATTTGCTTATTTTTTTCAGTTGACTCTGTTTTTGAGATCTTACTAAAAAACATCTTCACCCAGATCAATGTTCTGAAGTGTTTTTCCACAGTTTTCTTCCAGTAGTTTCATGGTTTGAGGTCTGATATTTTGAGTTGATTTTTGCATATAGTGAGAGATAAGGGACTATTGTGGGATCTGGCCAGCAGCCCGCAATGCAACGGGACTCTTTCTTTGTTCCCAGGTGGATCAGCAGGTCGAGAAATAAAAGACAAACACAAAATAGTGAAAACTGGGTCCAGGGGTGTCATCGTCTTCTGGTCCTGTGATGCTGCCAATGCACTGGATATGCCAGCATTTATTATTAAGTTTAGTGAGGGCGGGGGTAAGTTAGTGAGGGATTTAGTGTTGTTTGATTATGAGGTGAAATGGTCACATGGGGATGAAGTAATTCTTTAACATAACATCTGTATGCAGAAGTACAGTATACAGAGATAAGAATTTACAATAGAGCGTGTGCATCAGTAATTTCTAACAGAGCCTTAAAACAGAAACACAGTCTTTCCATAACCTATGATTAGCAAGATATTAATCAGCAGTAACAGTGCAGCAAAAGCTGGTTACAAACAATCCATAGAAACAAGACATAAAGCTAGACAACTGGTTAGACCAGAAATTCTCAGAAGGGTGTATGCCTTAACCCTAAGGAGGCCTAGAAGAGCTGTGGCAAGATGATGGCATTTATAGCCCTATCTTATCCATATGAACAGGCACCCCTCATGCATCCATTTATAGGCTCTCCACAAGGGTCTCATTCCATTCCCAGAGCTATGAATATCTGCTTTTCTGGGATAGGAATCTTGGTGATGTGAAACCTCCCCGACTGCATGTTCATTCATAGGCTCTTTTCAGGGGAAAGCACATCATACGCTGTTGGCTCATTCTGGCAGTCCAACCTGGCATTGTCTTTACACAATCTTGCATACAATTTTGTACTTACAATAATCAGGAGCATTTCATCTTCCACTCCGTAGCAATAGTTTCAGGGGGGTCTCCCTACAAGGGACTTGTTTTATTCTTCTGCATATGGATATCCAATTTTCCCTGTACCATTTATTGAAGACACAGTCCTTTTCCCAATGTATATTCTTGGCTCCTTTGCTGAAAATGCATTGTCTGTAAATGTGTGGATTTATTTCTGGGTGCTCTTTCTAATCCATTGGTCTATGTATCTGTTTTTTTGTTTTGTTTTGTTTTGTTTCGTTTTTGTTTGTTTTTTGGCCAGCACTATACTATTTTGGTTACCATGGCTTTGTAATATGAAGTTACATAGTGTTATGCCTCCAATGTTGTTCATTTTTGGCAGAATTACTTTGGCTACTAAGGGTATTTTATGGTATCATATGTATTGCAGGATTGTTTTTTCTAATTCTGTGAAAATAACTACAGTTTGGTGGTTTTCTGTAGTGGTAACTTTTGACACCTTTCTCTTTCTCATTTGTGTGTCTGCTCTACCAATGAGTTTTATATTTTCTCCTTTTTTCATGATGGTAGATTTGTGGTTTGGCTTCCAGATGTAGGAATTCCTTATGAATTTCTTGTATGGTTGTTTTAGAGGTGATGAATTCCCTCTTTTTTATTATTGTCTGGTAAAGATTTTATTTCTCCTTTATTTTTGAAGGATAGCTTTTCTGTGTATGGTATTCTTGATTGACAATTTTTTTTTTCTTTCAGCACTTTGAAATACAGCATTCCATTTTCTCCTGCACTGTAAGTTTTCTGCTGATAAATCTGTTGGTACTTTATTAGTGATTTTCTTATAGGTGACTTGACATTTTGCTGTTTTTAATTCTATAGCTGGATGTCTATAATCTCTTAAAAGATTTAGGAAGTTTTCAGCTATTATTTTATGAAATAGGTTTGCTATGCTTTTGCCAATCTCTTCTCCTTCTGGAATTCCCTAAATTCAAATATTTGGTCATTTTATGGTGTCTCACAAGTCACATAGGCTTTTGTTATTATTTTTTTCCTGAATGCTTTTGTTTGTTTCTTTGTTTTTCTGCTGAGTTATTTCAAATTCAGAAGTCCTTTCTCCTGCTTGATCTGGTTCATTGTTGAAGCTCTGGATTATATTTTTATTTCATTCATTGAATTCTTCAGTTCCAGGATTTCTGTGTGGTTATTATTTTATCACATCTATCTCTTTCTTGAATTACTTATTCAGATAATCAAGTGTTTCCCTGACATCTTTGTATTATGTATTTGTTTTTTTCTTATATCTCACTGTCTTTGTTTTTTTTATTTTTTAAATTTTTTATTATATTTTAAGTTCTAGGGTACATGTGCACAATGTGGATGTTTGTTACATAGGTATACATGTGCCACTTTGGTTTGCTGCACCCATCAACTTGTCATTTACATTAGGTAATTCTCCTAATGCTATCCTTCCCCCAGGCCTCCACCCCTGACTGGCCCTGGTGTGTGATGTTCCCCGCCCTGTGTCCATGTGTTCTCATTGTTCAACACCCACTTATGAGTGAGAACATATGAGGTTTGGTTTTCTGTCCTTGTGATAGTTTGCTTAGAATGATAGTTTCCAGCTTCATCCACGTCCCTGAAAAGGACATGAACTAATCCTTTTTTATGGCTGCATAGTATTCCATGATGTATTTGTACCACATTTTCTTAATCCAGTCTATCATTGATGGACATTTGGGTTGGTTCCAAGTCTTTGCTATTGTGAATAGTGCTGCAATAAACTTATGTGTGCATGTGTCTTTATTGTAGAATGATTTATAATCCTTTGGGTATATGCACAGTAATGGGATTGGTGGGTCAAATGGTATTTCTAGTTCTAGATCCTGAGGAACCACCGCACTATCTTCCACAATGGTTGAACTAGTTTACACTCACAAGAACAGTGTAAAACCGCTCCTGTTTCTCCACATCCTCTCCAACATCTGTTGTTTCCTGACTTTTTAATGATCGCCATTCTAACTGGAATGAGATGGTATCTCATTGTGGTTTTGATTTGCATTTCTTTGATGACTAGTAATGATGAACATTTTTGCATATGTCTGTTGTCTGCATAAATATCTTCTTTTGAGAAATGTCTGTTCATATCCTTTGCCACTTTTTGATGGAATTGTTTTTTGTTTGTTTGTTTGTTTGTTTTTTGTAAATTTGTTTGAGTTCTTTGTAGATTCTGGATATTAGCCATTTGTCAGATGGGTAGATTGCAAAAATTTTCTCCTATTCTGTAGGTTGCCTGTTCACTCTGATGATAGTTTATTTTGCTGTGCAGAAGCTCTTTAGTTTAATTAGATCCCATTTGTCTATTTTGGCTTTTGTTGCCATTGCTTTTGGTGTTTTAGACATGAAGTCTTTCCCCATGCCTATGTCCTGAATGGTATTGCCTAGGTTTTCTTCTAGGGTTTTTATGGTTTTAGGTCTAACATTTAAGTCTTTAATCCATCTTGACTTACTTTTTGTATACCCTGTAAGGAAGGGATCCAGTGTCAGCTTTCTACATATAGTTGGCCAGTTCCCCCAGCACCATTTATTTAATATGGAATCCTTTCCCCATTTCTTGTTTTTGTCAGGTTTGTCAAAGATCAGATGGTTGTAGATGTGTGGTGTTATTTCTGAGGCCGCTGTTCTGTTCTATTGTTCTATATATCTGTTTTGGTACCAGTACTGTGCTGTTTTGGTTACTGTAGGCTTGCAGTATAGTTTGAAGTCAGGTAGTGTGATGCCTCCAGCTTTGTTCTTTTGGCTTAGGATTGTCTTGGCAATGTGGGCTCTTTTTTGGTTCCATATGAACTTTAAAGTGTTTTTTTCCACTTCTGTGAAGAAAGTCATTGGTAGCTTGATGGGGATAGCATTGAATCTATAAATTACTTTGGGCAGTATGGCCATTTTCATGATATTGATTCTTCCTATCCATAAGCATGAAATTTTATTTAATTTATTTTTGTCCTCTTTTATTTCATTGAGCAGTGGTTTGTAGTTCTCCCTTAAGAGGTCCTTCACATCCCTTGTAAGTTGGATTCCTGGGTATTTTATTCTCTTTGTAGTAATTGTGAATGGGAGTTCCCTCATGATTTTGCTCTTTGTTTGTCTGTTATTGGTGTATAGGAATGCTTCTGAATTTTGAACATTGATTTTGTATCCCGAGACTTTGCTGAAATTGCTTATCAGCTTAAGGAGATTTTGTGCTGAAACGTTAGGGTTTTCTAAATATATAATCATGTCATCTGCCAACAGAGACATTTTGACTTCCTCTTTTCCTAATCGAATGTACTTTATTTCTGTCTCTTGTCTGATTGCCCTAGCCAGAAGTTCCAACACTATGGTGAATAGGAGTGGTGAGAGAGGGCATCCTTGTCTTGTGCCAGTTTTCAAAGGGAATGCTTCCAGTTTTTGCCCATTCCGTATGATATTGGCTGTGGGTTTGTCATAAATAGCTCTTATTATTTTGAGATACATTCCATCAATAACTAGTTTATTGAGAGTTTTTAGTATGAAGGGGTGTTGAATTTTATCAAAGGCCTTTCTGCATCTATTGAGATTATCATGTGGTTTTTGTCATTGGGCCTGTTTATGTGATGGATTACATTTATTGATTTGTGTATGTTGAACCAGCCTTGCATCACAGGGATGAAGTCGACTTGATCATGGTGGATAAGCTTTTTCATGTGCTGCTGGATTCGGTTTGCCAGTATTTTATTGAGGATTTTCACATCAATGTTCATCACTGATATTGGCCTCAAATTCTCTTTTTTTGTTGTGTCTGTGCCAGGCTTTGGTATCAGGATAACGTTGGCCTCATAACATGAGTCAGGGAGGATTCCCTCTGTTTCTGTTCATTGAAATCGTTTCAGAAGGAATGGTACCAGCTCCTCATCGTAGCTCTGGTAGAATTCAGCTGTCAATCTGTCTGGTCCTGGACTTTTTTTTATTGGTAGGCTATTAATTATTGCCTCAATTTCAGAGCCTCTTATTGGTCTATTCAGAGATTCAACTTCTTCCTGGTTTAGCCTTGGTAGGTGTACGTGTCCAGGGATTTATCCATTTCTTCTAGATTTTCTAGTTTATTTGCATAGAGGTGTTTATAGTATTCTCTCATGGGAGTTTGTATTTCTGTGGGATCAGTGGTGGTATCCCTTTATAATTTTTTATTTTGTCTATTTGATTCTTCTCTCTTTTCTTCTCTATTAGTCTTGCTAGCACTCTTTCTATTTTGTTGATCTTTTCAAAAAACCAGCTCCTGGATTCATTGATTTTTTGAAGGGTTTTTTTTTTCTATATATCCTTCAGTTCTGCTCTGATCTTAGTTATTTCTTGCCTTCTGCTAGCTTTTGAATTTGTTTGCTCTTGCTTCTCTAGTTCTTTTATTGTGATGTTAGGTTGTCAATTTTAGATCTTTCCTGCTTTCTCTTGTGGGCATTTAGTGCTGTAAATTTCCCTTGTCACACTGCTTTAAATGTGTCCCAGAGATTTTGGTACCTTTTGTCTTTGTTCTCATTGGTTTCAAAGAACATCTTTATTTCTGCCTTCATTTCATTATGTAACCAGTAGTCATTCAGGAGCAGGTGGGTCAGTTTCCATGTAGTTGTGTGGTTTTGAGTGAGTTTATTATTCCTGAGTTCTAATTTGATTGCACTGTGGTCTGAGAGACAATATGTTGTGATTTCTGTTCTTTTACATTTGCTGAGGAGTGTTTTACTACCAATTATGTGGTCAATTTTAGAATAAGTGTGATGTGGTGCTGAGAAGAATGCATATTCTGTTGATTTGGGGTGTAGATTTCTGTAGATGTCTATTAGGTCTTCTTCATCGAGAAGCTGAGTTCAAGTCCCTGATATCATTGTTAACCTTCTCTCTTGTTGATCTGTCTAATATTGACAGTGGGGTGTTAAAGTCTCCCATTATTGTTTGAGAGTCTAAATCTCTTTGTAGGTCTCTAAGGACTTGCTTTATGAATCTGGGTGCTCCTGTATTATTGGGTGTAAATATATTTAAGATAGTTAGCTCTTCTTGTTGAATTGATGCTTTTATCATTATGTAGCAGCCTTCTGTGTCTCTTTTCATCTTTGTTCGTTTAAAGTCTGTTTTATCAGAGACTAGGATTGCAGCCCCTGAGTTTCTTTTTTTTCTTTCCATTTGCTTGGTAGATCTTCCTCCATCTCTTTATTTTGAGCTTATATGCGTCTTTGCCTATAAGATGCGTCTCCTGACTATAGCACATTGATGGGTCTTGACTCTTTATCCAATTTGCCAGTCTGTGTTTTTTAATTGGGGCATTTAGCCCATTTACATTAAGGTTAACATTGTTATGTTTGAATTTGATCCTCATTATGATGTTAGCCGGTTATTTTGCCCATTAATTGATGCAGTTTCTTCATAGTGTTGATGCTCTACACAATTTGACATTTTTTTTGCAGTGGCCGGTACCAGTTTTTTCTTTTTCAGATTTAGTGCTTCCTTCAGGAGCTCTTGTAAGGCAGGCCTGGTGGTGACAAAATTTCTCGGCGTTTGCTTGTCTGTAAAGGATTTTATTTCTCCTTCACTTATGAAGCTTTGTTTGGCTGGATATGAGATTCTGTGTTGAAAATTCTTTTCTTTAAGAATGTCGAATATTGGCCCCCACTCTCTTCTGGCTTGTAGGGTTTCCACTGTTAGTCTGATGGGCTTCCCTTTGTGGGTAACCCGACCTTTCTCTCTGGCCGCCCTTAACATTTTTTCCTTCGTTTCAACCTTGGTGAATCTGACAATTATGTGTCTTGGGGTTGCCCTTCTTCAGGAGTACCTTTGTGGTGTTCTCTGTATTTCCTGAATTTGAATGTTGGCCTGCCTTGCTAGGTTAGGGGAGTTCTCCTGGATAGTATCCTGAAGAGTGTTTTCTAACTTGGTTCCATTCTCCCCATCACTTTCTGGTATACCAATCAAACATATATTTGGTCTTTTCACATAGTCCCATATTTCTTGGAGGCTTTGTTTATTTCTTTTCACTCTTTTGTCTCTAATCTTGTCTTCTCATTTTATTTCATTAATTTGTTCTTCAATCATTGTCATCCTTTCTTCTACTTGATCAAATTGGCTATTGAAGCTTGTGCACGCATCATGAAGTTCTCATGCCATGGTTTTCAGCTCCATCAGGTCATTTAAGGTCTTCTCTACCCTGTTTATTCTATTTCGCCATTCTTCTAACCTTTTCTTCAAGGTTTTTGGCTTCCTTGCCATGGGTTTGAACATGCTCCTTTATCTCGGAGAAGTTTGTTATTATCAACCTTCTGAAGCCTACTTCCGTCAACTCGTCAAACTCATTCTCCATCCAGTCTTGTTCCCTTGCTGACCAGGAGCTGCAATCCTTTGGAGGAGAAGAGGTGCTCGTTTTTTGGAATTTTCAGCTTTTCTGCTCTGGTTTCTCACCATCTTTGTGGTTTTATCTACCTTTGGTCTTTGATGTTGGTGACCTACAGATGGGGTTTTGGTGTGGATGTCCTTTTTGTTGATGTTGATGCTATTCCTTTCTGTTTGTTAGTTTTCCTTCTAACAGTCAGACCCCTCAGCTGCAGGTTTATTGGAGTTTGCTGGAGGTATATGCCAAACCCTATTTGCCTGGGTATCACCAGCAGAGGCTGCAGACGAGCAAATATTGCTGCCTGATCCTTCCTCTGGAAGCTTCGTCCCAGAGGTGCATCTGCCTGTTTGAGGTGTCTGTCGACCCCTACTGGGAGGTGTTTCCCAGTCAGTCTATATGGGGATCATGGACCTACTTGAGGAGGTAGTCTGTCCACTCTCGGAGCTCGAACGCAGTGCTGAGAGAACCACTGCTCTCTTCAGAGCTGTCAGACAGGGACGTTTAAGTCTGCAGAAGCTGTCGGCTGCCTTTTGTTTTACTATGCCCTGCCCCCAGAGGTGGAATCTATAGAGGCAGTAGGCCTTGCTGAGCTGCAGTTGGCTCTGCCCAGTTCATGCTTCCAGGCCTCTTTGTTTACACCTTGAGCTACTCAAGCCTCAGCAATGGCAGACACCCCTTCCTCCATCCAGCTGCAACATGGCAGGTGGATCTCAGACTTCTGCACTAGCGGTGAGCAAGGCTCCGTGGGCATGGGATGGGACCCACTGAGCCAGGCATGGGAGGGTATCTCCTGGTCTGCTGGTTGCTAAGACTGTGGGAATAGCACAGTATTTGGTCAGGCGTGAACTGTTTCTCCAGATACAGTCAGTCACGGCTTCCCTTGGCTAGGAAAGGGAAATCTCCTGACCCCTTGCACTTCCCAGGTGAGGCAATGCCCCGCCCTGCTTCAACTCACCCTCCGTGGGTTGCACCCACTGTCCAACCAGTCTGAGTGAGATGAACCAGGTACCTCAGTTGGAAATGAAGAAATCACCCATCTTCTGCGTCGATCTCGCTGGGAGCTGCAAACTGGAGCTGTTCATATTCGGCCATCTTGGAAGTGACTCCCTCACTATCTTTAATAGCATTGTTTTGAATTCTTTTACAACTGTTTCATAGATTTCCTTTGCATGAGAAACTTGCTAGAGAATGATTGTTTTCCTTTTGAGGCATCACATTTTCTTTCTTTTTCATTTTTTTGTGTTTTTATATTCATATCTACAAATCTGTTGTAACAATCACTTCTTCCAATTTTATGGATTGGCTTTCCTTGAGAAAGACATTTTCCTGTTGATGTGTTTTGATTGGGTAGGATGCTTTGGTTTGATTCTGGGTGGAAATAGTAATGTAGTCTCCTTATGATTTCTTTGGCTGTAATTAGTGTCAGTGTGTTTGTGAGCTCTTCAGTGGCTTAGGTTTCAGTTATTAGAAGGCTCTGGTGAAGGTTTGCTGGGGATGGGTACACTAAGTAGGCTGGTCCTTGGGCATCTGTGGTGGAGGTGGAAGGCCTCTCTTGCTGGTCCTTGGGCTCTTGTGCTGCATACATAAGCACCAGTGATGGTGGTTTGGGCAGGCTGATCTTTGGGCCGCCCAGGTCACTTGCTTAAGTGTTGGCAGTGGCAGTGGTGGGATAAGTGGTCAGGTGGGTTCTTAAGTCACTGGATGGCATGGGTTGCATGGGCAAAGGGAGTTATGGTTTTCAGGCCAACCCTTGGGCCCTTGAGTGGTATATGCATGCACAGTGGTGGCAGTGGCAAGCTAAGCAAAACCAATTCCCAGGCTACCAGATGACACCTTCACATGGATGCCAGTGAAGGTGACAGAAGCAATCTGGATAGGCCTCTCCTCACTCAGAGGGCACCTGTGGGTGCCAGCAGTCACCAGTAGGGAAGACCTATCTTCAGGGTCCTACAGTGGTATACACAGCACCAGAGGCAGTGATATAGGGTAGTTTGATCCCCAGGCTCCTGGACAACACACACAGGCACTGGCAGGGGTTGCACTAGGCAAAATTGAGCCTGTCCTCAGTTACTCTGGTCATGTGCATGGGTACAGGCTGAATCTGGTAGGATGGGTCAATCCCCAGACCCCCAGACAGTGCATTTTTGCCTGGGGATAGTGGCGGGTGGGGCAGACCTCTCCTTAGACCCCCAGACAATCAGCACGGGTAACTGTGGGGGCAGGTATGGTGGGTCGTTCCCCAGGCCCCCAGATGGTGCAAGTAGGTGCACTGATGGCAGTGGGCAGGGCCACCCTGTCCTCAGGTCCCCAGGCCATGCACATGGGCACAGCACAAAAGTGGTGGTGGGCAGCAGTGGTGCTGGGGAGAACAGTCCTCTAGCCAGCCCCCTTGATGACAGTGGCAGTGGTGGTGGGCTGGTTGGGTCAATACTAGGCTGCAGGAAGATGTCCAGATGGACCACCATCCAGACCCCCCAAAGTTACATGCAGGTAGATGGCCCCGCTGCTGGAGGATGGCTGCTATCCGTGGCAACGGCCCATGGAAGGCAGTTCTCAGGCTCTGAGTAGCATGTTCTCCAGCTCCCTTTGTCTTAGGGCAACCTCTTTGGTGTGGTGTGCCACCTGTTCCTCACTGCATGGGCTACAGTGCTAGGGATCTGGTGAATGGGTCAAATCACTGGATCCAATCAGCATTATGATAGATCAGCCCTTTGCATGGATGTGAGGAAATGCCAGTGAAGCTCCAGAGATGTGGAGATGCAGAGGCTTCTCGGAGCCAGTGCAGGATGTAACCTGCTGGGGTCAGGGCTTTCAAATTGGCACCATGCTACAACTGCTTGGATCTTGGGGTGGTGGGGAGTGGAACCCAGTATGAACTGCCTCTCTGAAACAACGCCTTTGAGTGGATTCCAGGCAATTCCCAAGGTTAGTCTCAGGGCTCGCAAAGGACAAGAAGCTCTCCTGTGGCTAGGATTGCAAGAGTCAGCAGTGGCAATGTTGACAACTGGGGATCTTTTGCTTATTTTTTTCCTTACACCAGGGAGTTTTTCCTAGTTCCATGCTGGTTCCAAATGGGTTGGCTGCTTTGCTTCTCTTTATTTCCATCCCTGAGAGGTTCTTCATCACTCCTTTGCTAAATTCCAGAGTTCTCTTTTAGAGACTACATTTAATGTATGATAATCCAGCCAGGCAATACTTTTGGTCTTCCTTCTGGACGAGGCGAGTGCTGTGCACATAGTCAGCCATATTGCTGCTCCCTCAACCTGTCAATCAAATGTGCAAGACCCAGACATTGAACCAAAGATAGGTAGAGGAAAAATTTTGTTTCCTCCCTTAAATGTATCCATTCCATCTCTTTGCTGTTAGTTCCAAAAGTGATGTTCAATATAAGTTTAAATTGAAAAGAAAAGCCATTAGATCATTTGGCTAATGGACTTGGAAACTTCAGTAAAGCAAAAGAACATAGTTTTCCACAGTGATGAAAGATTCATAAAACGGTTGTAACTTTCAGAGAGAGGGAGAAGACATTTTTTTAAAAATAAATCACATGGGATGTCATAAATAATAATAACGAGTTATCATTTGTTGAGTGCCGACTCTGTGCCAAGTGATGTATATGAATTTATTAAATATTAATAATGTTATGATACTGTTTTTATAATTGAGATTTTACAGTTAATAAAAATGAAGTTCAGAAACCTTGTTTGTATTTTCCAAGGTTACTCAATAAAGGAAAGAACCCAGATTTGATCCTTTATCTGGCAGATTCAAAGTCCTTGCTTTTAATTATTTATAAAACACTTGCTCTGGAACAAGGCAGAAAATGGAAAGTTGAATATTTTAAAATGAAACATAATGATCCCTTCACTTTTTTCCTAAAAGAATGAGGGTAGATTATTTAGATTTTCTGCTTTTTGGTGTATAAGGATGCTGTGGAATGTGAAAAAGCAACCAGGCTCTAGGTGTGTCAATATGGTGGAGTAGAAATATATACAGTGAATCATCTTTTTCCCTGAATATGTAAAACTGGTTTCTAGGGGCTGAGCAATTCTACCTTTTTTTTTTTCTTTCCGCTGCACTTACATGGATTCAACAAAAACCATGTAAAATATTTATTTAGTGATGTATGTATTTGTAGTCAAACACACAAACACACACAAAAGTGCAATATTCTGGAGGTCTAGATACTAAAAATTCAGCTGAGTTAAATATGATAAGTTAAAATACAGTATTTTTGCCCAAAACGTTAACAGCAGAGAATGCCAAAAATTTCAGTTACTAATCAAGGAAAATAGGAGTCCTGCAATTTTGTAAAATAATGAACCTTTCAAAAAATTTCCAAAACCTTTTTTATTTTCCAAATAAACAACTTTTGTTTGCTTTCAAGTTTTAAATATTGCCAAGTCACATCAACTGGGAGAAAGATTTAGATCCAAGCACGTTTACATGATCTTTGCATAAATAATTTACAAAACAGAAGATAAGCTAACAAAACACAAAGGCTAGATATAGTGTATGGGATAAACTGATATTTAATCTCAATACAGTTTGAAGGTATTCTAAAATATATGCAAACACATTAAGCTAAGTAAGCTTAGAACACAATTAAAAATTTGTCTAAATCTATTTCCGCCAGAGTGGAGATTTTATAGCAATTGTTTAATTATATAAGTGTTCATAATTCACTAATATTTCCAAAATATAAAAGAATAGTATATTGTTTTTAACACCTAAAAAGTTTGAAAAATCTATAAAACAAGGTATGGAAAAATTTTCATTAAAAAACTAAATATTTGACAATTATACATTAAATTTCCTAGAATTTAATATACTTGCATGGTTTATTTATTTGTTTAAAGTAATATCAAACTTTCATTCTTGGATTTCCTCTCCAAGACTTGGGGATAAATATAATTTTTTCAAGCCAATAAACCTGAATTGAATACATATACACTAACTGAGAGGTTCAGGAAAATTTAAACGTTAAAAAATAAATATAAAGGAAGGAAAAACATTTTAAAAATTGACTCTAGCATATGTAATCCAATTGTAAACTAAATCAATCCTGCTCATTAAGATCTATAAAATGTTTTCTGAAATATCTATGCCACTATTTATGGAAAGTCTAATGTTTTTCCTATACTTTAAATATATACTTTCCTATACTTATAAATTCATAGTTAACATAGCCTCTCATTTTCATCATTGTTTCAGAGAAATTCCTTCTTCCAAATCTGTTCAGTTTATGGGTTGGCTCACATGCATGAATATGCAATGCTTTTTCCATACCATATCAATCCAGATATGGTACTCAGTCCTGATTTGCATACCTAAATAAATTACCTATGTACTTGCATACATGAACTTTGTGTGTATGGACAGCTTCACTGAGTTTTGGTGGAGAGAAACGGGGCTAATATCATACCAATCCAAACTTAAATGGAAGGTCAGACATAAAATTCAATCAGTCCCTCTCTCTTACTTCTGCCTTTGACACATGGCATCTTAGCAATTTCACCACACCCCCAACAGAGCATTTCTGTTACAGAACTTTTAGCACTTAATGTTCTCCAACTCTTGCTAACAACCTTTTCCAATAGCACTAATATCATTTCTGGTAGTAAAGAACAGAATGTTTGGCAATACCATGTTAAAACATTAATTAGCATTAAATCCAATCACTGGAAATTTCTTCCTTTCAATATTTCTTTTAAACTCAGAAGGAAATTATCAATTTGTGGTTATTATGTCTTACACATTTTCTAGCATTAGCTAATAACTTTTTAACAACAAAAATACAAGCCTCAGATAAGGGCTCTAGAAGGCAAATGTATCCAATATAATGACGCTTTTTGTTGTTTCTGTTTGAATATCTTTTTATTTGTGGTAATTAAAATTTTATTTTAAAATAAAAGTACTTTAATGAAAATGAGTCCATTTACAAAATACTAGGTAAAAATAATAAAGGAATGATGAATTCATGGCAAAACATTGTAAAAATTTATAAAATGTTAACATTTAGGGAACACTTTTCTAGAACAGAGACAGTTGTAGCTATTTTAGAGAAATTCTGCTGCCAACTGTTAAGTCAATTTTTTAATCCAGGTCCACTTATATGTGATTTAAAATTAAGGTTTCTTTTGGATTTTTAAAAGTCAAATACCTGAGAAAACACAATGGAGTACATGACACTCATGGTTTGATAAAGTGAAATGTGTGATTTCATTGGGAATGGTGAAATCTCAACTCTTGCTAATTCCACAAACCCTTCATCCCAAGATTCCATTTGAAATAGCATTACACTATAATGTATTTGATACCTTCAACAACAGATTGTAAAAGCAATGGAACTATGTGCAGTCAAAATTTGAGAGAGGTAAACCAAAGGTATTAAGAACGGTAATTATTTCAATCTTAGCATATGATATAGCCCACAAAACCTAGAAATGAGTCATTAGTGAATAAATGACTTAAAATAAAAATTGTCTTAATGGGATCTTCCCCAGAAATTGGAATTTAAAATGAAGTCCTTGATTTTCCACTGAAAATATGTTGTAGTGTTCACTGAGAGAATATACAGATTCACAGTCAGTGAAAGTGAGATGGTTTTGATAATAAAGGAAAAAAACTATTTATTTATTTATTTATTCATTCATTCATTCATTTATACTAAATGAGATCGTGGCAGCAAGACATACAGTAAGTTTGAGCGTCTTGCAAAGAAGATAAACCATTTTAAGTAGAGAAATTATTAGTTCTAGACCTCAAATTACTTGGCTATAAATCATGGGAGAGATGGTTTGGGCCTAGAGAACTGTAAGGGCTGGCCTCTTAACACTAAAAAAAAAAGAAAAGAAATAAATGCAATTATTTATATGGACTCTTTGGCTTGCCAGATTTAATGGAACTTAACCATATGATGGGTCCACCATAAGGAGGCAGATGCAAAATGTCCTTCAAAAATGAATTGACTTTCTAAATAGAACCATCTAATATGGCACATTTTAAAACTGGCAAAAACAATGATTTGAGTATTGATATAAATGGTGTCAACTAGAGATCAAGGATGTAAAAAACAATTTTACTTTGCGAGTAGACAGTCTTGTTCCTCAGAGTACCTAGTATTTCCAAGTAACTAAATCTAGATATCTTCATATCAATTTGATTAAATCAAATTATGTATTTCTGCAAATTCAAGATTCACAGCACAGTTCCAGTGCAGTCTGCAAACACCTTTAAATTTTGGTTGTTGTTGTTCAACCACTGCATGAGGTCCTGCATATGTGGAAATAGTAGAAGGTAGCTAGGGATAGTGGAGAGGCCATTAACATAATTTGATCCTGCTAAAGATGAAGAATCAGAGAGTAAAGCTCAATTTTGTGTTCCTATTGTCTTTCGCTGCTGATGTTCTCCTAACCTGTCTCTTGGCACAAGTAATTCTCAGTGGTAGGTCTGATGGTGGTACATTTGCCTCTTTTATCACATAGAATGAATGGTAACATGGAAATATTGTTGTACTTCTCTTGTCATAGTTGGACATTTTTGCCTTTCCAGTTAGACTCCTGATGCTTGCCTGACTTTCATTCTTCAAGTTATTCATGAGTGTACTTCTAAGGACATTAGAAACTTGTACATACTTTTCATGATTC
The DNA here is from genome assembly GCF_000001405.40 of Homo sapiens. Classification (NCBI taxonomy): domain Eukaryota; kingdom Metazoa; phylum Chordata; class Mammalia; order Primates; family Hominidae; genus Homo; species Homo sapiens. The sequence continues at coordinate 111,259 of NW_018654711.1, forward strand.
ACTAGGCCATGGGACTCTTGGTGAGCTCAAGGGCTCCTCTTGTTTCCGAGTGCCTTATGCCACCAGCAATCTACTCTAATATTTACACTCACAAGAGACGTGAAGTAGCAGTTAAAGCAAAAAAAAAAAAAAAAAAAAAAAGGCTTAGGATGTGTTTGCAAATTGGACTAGAAATGATTTGTGAATGTTGAATTTAGCTGACATAAATAATTAAATTAATATGAATTGATAATAAATTTACTTGAAAATATCTAGATTAAGTTATCTGTGACAAGATTAGTAGGGGTTTAAAAACATGAAAATAGGCTCAGTTGCAAGAAATATTCTTTTTAAATTCTTAATTTTTTGTTAATAGCATCTATGTTGAAATCTCAGCACTTATTTCTGGCATAATTTTTGAGGCTGCTGCAATCAAACTTCAGTCTGGAAATGACATGTTATTGTTGCCTTTTCTAATTGTCCCCAAACTTCTTTAGTTATGGGGCACTAAAATTTATTTAATTTTTTCTTTCTGTCCCCAATTCAATTCTTATCAGTAAGGTTAAGTTAATCTTTTGTCAAAAATTTGCCATCTTATATCATACTTGTTTCCTTGTCTCTAATTTTGTGCTTCCCCATTTTTAGTTCTTTTCATATTTGAGGCCAATACAAACATAAATTTTACTAGAATCTATTAAAACATTCAAATTTCCTCCAATTTACATCCAAATCTTTGGCTTTTTCTCTCATAAACTGAATTTAGCATTCTTCTCTAGTCCCTGGCAAATGATTCTGGCCTTCCAGTTGTAATGAATAGTGATGGAAGAAATGTGTTGAACAATACAGTAAAAACTGCACTACTGTAAATTAATAACTATGTCCATCATCCTGTCACAGGTTGACACAATGATAATTTCCATATTTGGGTGAGTAAATATTTGTGTTGAGCAGGAAAGTCCTAGCTAATTTCTCCATTTTTTAAAGATAGAGTTGTTTCTAGCACTATCAAAAGCAGAGATATTGTAAAAAACAGGAAGATGTAAATGTCAGTTGCTGGCAATACATATGTATATGGAGTCCCAAGACATGAACTCTGGTGATCCTCAATACTATCTATCTGTGGTTCAACACAGGTAAAAATTCAATTCACCCAGACCCATCATATTGGTCATACCATTGAATTGGTCATACTATTCATCTCTTTCTTTAAACTCTGAAAGGATAGCCTGAGTGAAGATTTGCAGACTAAGGGGGGCTTATGAACAAAATTTCACTCTTGCTTTCTTTCCTGCTGTCTGATGAATAAGTTTTGTTTAGTGAATGAGATTAGGTTTCAAATTTGGTTAATAAATGTGCCAAATGAAGGATAAAATGTATGGGCTATAAACTGCTTGAGCAATGGTAATGGGCCTCAGGGAAACCAAGTAAAAGAGACCTGCTCCTAACTACCTATCTTTGCATCCATCAACCAAGCAACAGTATAGGATAGAATATAGCTTAAACTATGAGGCTAGTGAGGTTCCCCACTTTCCCCCAGCTCAAATTCTTTGATACCTTTAGAAATCTGAGTCTATATATTTTTTTTTTTCTTTCTGAGATGGAGTTTCGTTTTTGTTGCCCAGGCCAGAGTGCAATGACACGATCTTGGCTCACTGCAACCTCCGCCTCCCAGGTTCAAGCAATTCTCCTGCCTCAGCCTCCCAAGTAGCTGGGATTACAGGCAACCACCAGCATGCTTAGCTAATTTCTTGTATTATTAGTTGAGATAGGGTTTCACCATTTTTGCCAGGCTGGTCTTGAATTCCCGACCTCAGGTGACCCACCTGCCTTGGCCTCCCAAAGTGCTGGGATTACAGGCGTTAAGCCACAGTGTCCGGCCCAGAAATCTGAGTTTAAATCTTTTCAGAACAAATATATTTGAGGTTTCTTCCAGTTCTAACACCTACAATTGTATGTGTTGAATTGAGAAATTTTATTCTCAGTAAAAGATTCAAGATTATAAAAATGTACTATTGTACATCTTATTATTATTAACAGTGAAAATATCTGACAAATCATCTAAATAATCTATTTATTACTCACGATTTTTCTCTAAAAATTTCAAAACTTTAAGTAAACTTTAACATTCTTTGTAATGGAAATAAACAATATTAAGTGAAAAATATAAAACATTATGTTTTATATTGTTAGAATTGATACGGTTTGGCTGTATCACACCCAAATCTCAACTTGAATTGTATCTCCCAGAATTTCCACGTGTTGTGGGAGGTACCAAGTGGGACATAACTGAATCATGGGGGCCGGCCTTTCCCATGCTATTCTTGTGATAGTGAAAAAGTCTCACTAGATCTGATGCTTTATCAGGGGTTTCTGCTTTTGCTTTCTTCTCATTCTCTCTTGCTGCGTCCATGTAAGAAGTGCCTTTAGCCTTCCACCATGATTGTGAGACCTTCTCCAGCAACGTGGAACTGTAAGTGCAATTAAATCTCTTTCTTTTTTAAATTGTCCAGTCCTGGGTATGTCTTTTTTTGTTATTATTATACTTTAAATTCTAGGTTACATGTGCACAACATGCAGGTTTGTTACATATGTATACACGTGCCATGTTGGTGTGCTGCACTCATTAACTCATCATTTACATTAGGTATATCTCCTCATGCTTTCCCTCCCACCTTCCCCCACCCCACAATAGGCTCCGGTGTGTGATGTTCCCCTTCCTGTGTCCATGTGTTCTCATGGTTCAATTCCCACCTATGATTGAGAACATGCAGTGTTTGGTTTTTTGTCCTTGCAATAGTTTGCTGAGAATGGTTTCCAGCTTCATGCATGTCCCTACAAAGCACATGAAATCATCATTTCTTATGGCTGCATAGTATTCCATGGTGTATATGTGCCACATTTTCTTAATCCAGTCTATCTTTGATGGACATTTGGGTTGGCTCCAAGTCTTTGCTATTGTGAGTAGTGCTGCAATAAACATACGTGTGCATGTGTCTTTATAGCAGCATGATTTATAATCCTTGGGTTATATACCCAGTAATGGGATCGTTGGGTCAAATGGTATTTCTAGTTCTAGATCCTTGAGGAATTGCCACACTGTCTTCCACAATGGTTGAACTAGTTTACAGTCCCACCAACAGTGTAAAAGTGTTCCATTTCTCCACATCCTCTCCAGCACCTATTGTTTCCTGACTTTTTAATGATCGCCATTCTAACTGGTGTGAGATGGTATCTCATTGTGGTTTTGATTTGCATTTCTCTGACGGCCAGTGATGATGAGCGTGTTTTCATGTGTCTGTTGGCTGCATAAACATCTTCTTTTGAGAAGTGTGTGTTCATATCCTTCACCCACTTTTTGATGGGGTTGTTTGTTTTTTTCCTCATAAATTTGTTTAATTGTAGATTCTGTATATTAGCCCTTTTCAGATGAGTAGATTGCAAAAATTTTCTCCCATTCTGTAGGTTTCCTGTTCAATCTGGTGGTAGTTTCTTTTGCTGTGCAGAAGCTCCGTAGTTTAATTAGATCCTACTTGTCAATTTTGGCTTTTGTTGCCATTACTTTTGTTGTATTAGACATGAAGTCCTTGCCCATGCCTATGCCCTGAATGGTATTGTCTAGGTTTTCTTTTAGGGTTTTTATGGTTTTAGGTCTAACATTTAAGTCTTTAATCCATCTTGAATTAATTTTTGCATAAGGTGTAAGGAAGGGATCCAGTTTCAGCTTTCTACATATGGCTAGCCAGTTTTCCCAGCACCATTTGTTAAATAGGGAATCCTTTCCCCATTGCTTGTTTTTCTCAGGTTTGTCAAAGATCAGATGGTTATAGATGTGTGGTATTATTTCTGAGGGCTCTGTTCTGTTCCATTGGTCTATATCTCTGTTTTGGTACCAGTACCATGCTGTTTTGGTTACTGTAGCATTGTAGTATAGTTTGAAGTCAGGTAGCGTGATGCCTCCAGCTTTGTTCTTTTGGTTTAGGATTGACTTGACAATGTGGGCTCTTTTTTGGTTCCATATGAACTTTAAAGTAGTTTTTTCCAATTATGTGAGGAAAGTTATTGTTAGCTTGATGGGGATGGCATTGAATCTATGAATCGCCTTGTGCAGTATGGCTATTTTCACAATATTGATTCTTCCTATCCATGAGCATGGAATGTTCTTCTATTTCTTTGTATCCTGTTTTATTTCATTGAGCAGTGGTTTGTAGTTCTCCTTGAAGAAGTCCTTCACATCCCTTGTAAGTTGGATTCCTAGGTATTTTATTCTCTTTGAAGCAATTGTGAATGGAAGTTCACTCATGATTTGACTCTCCATTTGTCTGTTATTGGTGTATAAGAATGCTTGTGATTTTTGCACATTGATTTTGTATCCTGAGACTTTGCTGAAGTTGTTTATCAGCTTAAGGAGATTTTTGGCCTAGATGATGGGGTTTTCTAAATATACAATCATGTCATCTGCAAACAGGGACAATATGTCTTCCTCTTTTCCTAATTGAATACCCTTTATTTCTTTCTCCTGCCTGATTGCCCTGGCCAGAACTTCCAACACTATGTTGAATAGGAGTGTTGAGAGAGGGCATCCCTGTATTGTGCCAGTTAGGGCACAAAAGATACCAGTTTAGGGTACCTGGTGCAAGAAATTTCTAAGCAGCAAAGCATTCAAGAGATGACTTGGGTGTTGTTAAAAGCATTCTGTTTTAAAAAGGATACAGAGCATTAAAGTTCAAAAAAATTGCACCCTGACAATGAAGTAGAAAAGAAAAACCCATTTTCTGGGGAGAAATTTAAGCTGGCTGCAGAAATTTGCCTAAGTAGCAAGGAGCCGAATGTTAATCCCTAAGACTATGGGAGAAATGTCTCCAGGCCATGTCAGAGACCTTTGCAGCAGCCCCTCCCATCACAGGCCTGGAGGCCCAGGAGGAAAAAGTGGTTTTGTGGGCTGGACCAAGGGTCCCTGTGCTGTGTGCAACCTAGGGACTTGGTGCCCTGTGTCCCAGCCACTCCAGCCATGGCTGAAAGGGGTCAACACAGAGCTTAGGCCATGGCTTCAGAGGGTGCAAGACCCAAGCCTCGGCAGCTTCCCCGTGGTGCTGAGCCTGTGAGTGCGCAGAAGTCAAGAATTGAGGTTTGGGAACTTCCTCCTAGATTTCAGAAGATGTATGGAAGCACCTAGATGCCCAAATAAAAGTTTGCTGCAGGGGCAGGGCCCTCATGTGGAACCCCTGCTAGGGCAGCAGAAGGGAAATGTGGTGTCAGAGCCCCCACACAGAGTCCCTAATGGGGCACTGCCTAGTGGAGCTGTGAGAAGAGGGCAACCATCCTCCAGAACCCAGATTGGTAGAGCCACCCACAGCTTGCACTGTGCACCTGGAAAAGCCACAGACACTCAATGCCCAGCCGTGAAAGCAGCTGAGAGAGAGGCTGGACTCTGCAAAGCCACAGGGGTGGAGTTGCCCAAGACCATGGGAATCCACCTCTTGCATCAGCAGCGTGACCTGGATGCAAGACATGGAGTCAAAGGACATCATTCTGGAACTCTAAAATTTGACTGCCCTGCTGTATTTCATACTTGCATGAGGCCTGTAGCCCCTTTGTTTTGGCCAATTTTCCCATTTGGAATGGCTGTATTTATGAAATGCCTGTACCCATATTGTATCTAGGAAGTAACTAACTTGCTTTTGATTTTACAGACTCATAGGCAGAAGGGACTTGCATTGTCTCAGATGAGACTTTGGGGAACTGTCAGGAAGGCATGATTGGCATTGAAATGTGAGGACATGAGATTTGGGAGGGGCCGTGGTGGAATGATATGGTTTGGTTCTGTCCCTGCCCAAATCTCAACATGTATCGTATCTCCCAGAATTCCCATGTGTTGTGGGAGGGTCGCAGTGGGAGGTTATTGAGTCATGGGGGCCGGTCTTTCCCATGCTATTCTTGTGATAGTGAATAAGTCTCACAAGATCTGATGGGTTTATTATCAGTTTCCACTTTGCCTCCTTCTCATTCTCTCTTGCCACTGCCATGTAAGAAGTGCTTTTCATCCTCCACCATGATTGTGAGACCTTCCCCAGCCACGTGGAACTATAAGTCCAATTAAACCTCTTTCTTTTGTAAATTTCCCAGTCTCAGGTATGTCTTTATAAGCAGAATGAAAATGGACAAATACGAGACTATTATCCCATGTTTATTAAAACTACTATTTCAAATATTCAACCCTTGATTAATAAAACTAATATTATGTTTCAGTCACTATGCTAAGCACCTTAGATCAGTTAACACATTTAATCATAGAAACAAAACCATGAAATAAGCATTATTATTGTCATTCTTATCTTGTAGGTGAATAAATCTCTAGAGGAAATAAATTAATTAAAATGCCCAAAATCACAGTTAATCTCTACTAAAGAATTTTATGATCATGCACTATAGTTTTAAAAGGACATTGGTTAAGATGTTAAATCATACATGAAAATATAAGTTGTTCCAGATAATACTTACATAAAAAGATTGAATGCCCTCTTGTGTATACATGACATGAAATATTTGTAGTAAAATAACATATATGTGATATCTTTGGAATTTTTTATGTATGTGTGGAGTGTGTATGTATGTGCATGTAGATCCTTTGACCTAAAATGTATCCTTTATTAACAGATTCCAAATAAAAATATTTAGAGATTCAGGATTTCATGCAGGGATAAAAATATTAACCACAGTACTATTATAATAAAATCAAATTAGAAACCAAATAATGTTTCTTGCCAATAGACTGTAAGGGAAATTATGATATATTCATAGGAAGCCCCTGGGAAAAATTTTGCAAGGATTTTTAATGATATTGTTAACTGTTTCTAGAGCAAAGTTAAGTAAAATATGCTGGATTTAAATATTTATAATCAATATATTCATTCATTTAGTGACTATTTCACTCATCAAAATGTATCAGGCAGTATTCCAGTAGAAGAGGAAGATGTAGTGCTGACTAAGACAAATGAAAGCCCTGTCCTCATGGGCATCTATTTTTCTATCTACCTATCTATTGACCTAACTGCTTACCTATCCACTTGTATCAGTCAGCTCTTACTGAATAACAAACCATTCCAAAACTCAGTGCTGTAAATCAATTATGTGCCGTGAGATTCTTGCTTTTATATCAGAGGGTCATCCAGAGAAATATGCAGTAGAAATAAATTAATAAAAATGTCTAAAGTCACAAAGTTAATCTGTTTTTAAAAAGACAGAATTTTATAACCATGTGCTATACTTTTGAAAGGTCATAGGCTAAGATGTTAAATGATAAAGGAAAACATTAGTTTCTCTTGATAGTATCTATGTGGATAGATTTGATGCCGTCTCAAATATGCTGGGCATAGGGAGGAGCAGGGGTAAAAAGAAAAAAAAAATCTGCTGGGCAGCTGGAGATACAGCAATAGAAGGCTCTAGAAATCAGGAGAAATCTGGAAGTCTGAAGAAGGAAGAAAATGACTGAAAATCTGAAGTAACCAGAAGAGATTTATTCCTTCCTCATGTGTATAACCCCAGCTAAACTTCCTTACCCTGAAAGTGACAGATGAGGCCAGGTGCGGTGGCTCATGTCTGTAATCCCAGCACTTTTTGGGAGGCCAAGGCAGGCGGATCACGAGGTCAGGAGTTCAAGACCAGCCTGGCCAACAGGGTGAAACCCCATCTCTACTGAAAAAAAAAAAAATTAGCCCAGTGTGGTGGCATGCACCTGTAATCCCAGCTATTTGGGAGGCTGAGGAAAGAGAATTGCTTGAACCCGGGAGGCAGAGATTGCAGTGAGCTGAGACCGTGCCACTGCCCAACAGTCTGGGCGACAGAGCAAGACTCTGTCTCAAGTAAATAAATAAATAAACAGAGTGGCTTGTAGTTTTTCTGAAATTCCCCAAACCAGTCTCATTGTGTCTACTCAGAATATACCAGCACTAGCTGGTCAAAGCCTCTTTCTCAGAATTTTATTTCCTCCTCTTAATAAGCTCCCTCTTTTAGACCTAAGGCATCATTATGAAATGAATTGTGCCCTTTCCTCAAGGCCTGCAACCAAGTTCTACAGAATCTTTCTTCACAGGACTTCAGGTACGAGTACCAACCTTATCAGGAGTCCACGTTCCATTTTAATGAGGTCTCTCCTCCAAACTTCTATTATTAACAGTTTCAGCCTCTTCCCTTTTTAACCTCCAGCCTTAGGGATGGTAAGTGCTTTCCACAGCAACTCCATGAAAATGTAGTGTTTCCTTTTGCTTTTTAATTAAGTTGTCACCAATATCTAATTATTAAGATTAGTTTATATGAAAATATCTCTGTTCAAACAGCTGGTGTGGTTCATATTTCTTGAATAGCTTCTGACTAACTTACATTAGATTGGTCAAAGCAAATCACATGACCAAGCCAATATCTGTGGATGGAAATACCTACTCTTCCTCTGCTAGGAAATTCAAACATGATATATTTTCAGACTTGTGTGTCATAAGAAGGCAGTAATTGGAAATATGTTTGTGAATTATTGAAGGAAATAATTCAATAAATCCACTATTTTATACCAGATATTTATATATTCTCTATTTTCCATTTGTGGAAATGTATGATAACGACAATAGCTTACATTTATTCAATGCTTGCCAGTGCAGGCACTGATGCCTAATCTTCACAACAACCTTATGAAGTAGTTACTCTTATTACCCCTATTTAAAAAATAAGAAAACTGAGTTTGAATCATATTAATTAGTCCAAGGTCCCGCAGTTTTTATGTGACATATCCAGGATTCAAAAGCAACGGGCTGTTGGAGAGCTCACATGGTTAAACAACACAAAACATTTTGTCAAAATGAAATGTTGATGGCAGCAGCAGCCTGTCTGGAGTGTCCGCTGTCTTGACGCTAGCTCAGTGAGGGAGGCGCAGCTGGGACTGCCGCTCCATGGAGCTGGCAGGAGCTGGGAACAGGTGGTAGCCCCACCCTCTTACAAGTTGGAGGGGTGGGAGCCCCGCCCTCACAGGCACAGCTGCATCCGCTTAGTCTTGGCTGTGGATCTGTGTATCCCTGCACTTTGCGGGGATGGGAGGTGCAGGAAGCCCCCCTGCCCCCGCAGCCTCAGAAGTGCCTGTTCCTGCTGCCTGGTCTCTCCCCACTCCCAGTGCCCACTCCCGTTTCACAGCAAAGTTGTGGCTGAGCTCAGGCACCGTCATCACCTGGCGGGGTGTGCACGTGCCTGGGGCAGCAGTGAAATGCTAGCCCCCTGCCACCTTGGTGCCTTCTGGACTTTGGTCACCAACAAGCATGGGAGGGAGCCCGAGAGGGGCAGCTTGGCGTGGGCCTGTAGGCTCCCTGCAGCAACAGCCTGGTCGCCATGGGCACCGTGGCTGGCAGGTTAATGGTGGCAGAAAGCAAATAGGATCCTGGCTGGAAAGGGTCAAGTCCCTGGTGAAACCCCACCTTCAAGCCAGGGAGGGCCTGAGGCCTGGGCTCCACGTTGCCTTTTCCGTGCACCAGAGTGAAAACTCGCGCTTTTTCCGGGCCTGCCCATGGCCACCTACGGACCAATCTGGCATGCACTTCCTCCCCTATGAAGCCCATAAAAACCCTGGACTCATTTAGACTCGGGCAGATGACGGAGTAGCCTCCCTGTGGACAGGTGCTACCCACTGTGGGTGTCCTCTCTGCTGAGAGCTGGACACTCATTGGGACGACCTGACTGTGGAGAGGAGCTACCCAGTATAGGTCTCCTCTGAGACCTATACTGTTCTGTCACTAAATAAAGCAATTGTTTGCCTTATTCACCCTCCACCTGTCCACATACTTTATTCTTCCTGGACACAGGACAAGAACTCAGGACCCATCAAACGGTGGGACTGAAAGAACTGTAACACAAACAGGGCTGAAACATGCCCCTTGCTTGCCACATTGCAGGCGACAAGGAGGAGGTAAGAGGGAAAGAGAGAAGAGCTGCGGCCATTCAGGGAGCCCAGACCTGGGAGCTCCCTGAGCCAGGGCTGTGACACCTTCTTTGGGGCTCTGTGGTTCCCGGTGTCTCTAAGGTTCTGGGCGCAACCATGTCCCCTCGTGGCAGCCATAGAAGCTGCTTGTGCCTGGTCCAGCTGCAGCCTTGCAGGGAGCCAGCCCCCACGCTGGCACCTGGAGCTGCCCACCCCACCACAGCTGGCATGCCTAGCTGTACACAGTGACCATACCCCATGCTCACTCTCTCACACCCCCTCACTGCTCCACACTTGACTCGCCCTTGACAGGCATGGGAAACAGGCCAGTAGCATAAGCCAAGGTCAGCCTGCCAGGCTGAGTGAGTAGAACGAGCCTAGTGGCTCGTGAGTTTTGCTCAGGCAAAGGTGCCATCCTCTGTGGCCCCAAGGATCCTGTCACAATGTTACTAGAAATAGCAGTCCTTTGGTTTTAAATGTCCATCTCATCCATTGGGTAGTTACATGTTTATGCATGTTTAGAAATGATAATGTTTTTAAATTTTACCTTAAGTTCTGGGATACATGTGGAGAATGTGCAGGTTTGTTACATAGGTATATACATGTGCCATGGCAGTTTGCTGCACCTATCAGCCTGTCATCTAGGTCTTAAGCCCTGCATGCATTAGGTATTTGTTCTAATACTCTCCCTACCCTTGCCCCCCACCACACAAATATAATTTTTTAACAAAAATTGTCTGTTTTGAAAACTTTTTATTGTATGTACCAGAGAATATAGAAGAACATGCCATTAATTTATTTCCTGAATCCTCGTAGTGAGTGATACGTGTGTGTGCATATGAAGTAACCTTATTATCTATTTTTTTAGCATGTATTATTAAAAGAGACATTTGAAAAACTCACAAGATGTTTCTATTTATTTTGATTCTAGACAGATTTTGGGAAGTTTCAACTTAGACGATATGTTCAAAATAAAAATACATTGCAAATTTCCATGTTCTAAACTAATTACAACAAAAGCACAATTTAGGAGAATTGAGGGTAGGGGAAATTAAATGAATTATAAGCTTCATTAAGCATAATTTGATCATTGAGTATACTGAATTAGATTTTTACATTTTTATTCTTTCTGATCTAGATCAATATGTCTTGATCATCAGTGTGTGTGTGTGTGTGTGTGTGTATGATCACCAATGGTTTTTGTCATTTTGGAATGTCATGTAAAAGGGAAATGACAGTACCAGACAAACTATTATATGTGTACCAGAGAGTACACAAAAATTGGCATTGACTTATTCACTGAATCCTCACAGTGAGCGACATAAATCAAAACTCCCTGTGACAGTAGGGAAAGGCTGGTAACTTTTAGTAGGAAATTGATACAGGTATGCCTTTCAGAGAATGAGAGGAGATTCTTTCCACGGTGCTATCTACAGTAACTACTTGCAGGGATGTTGTTCCTTAATGAAAGGTTTCTTTTAAGATATATGTACCTTTTGTAATGCTAACAGAATTGATGATGGGAACTGAAAACCTAAGATGGACTGATGAACAGATTGGTTTGCAAACACCTCTTATGGGTAGAAAAATGTAGGTATAACATAATTTTTTACTGTAATGAATTATTATTATTTGCAAGAATACATGACTTTTTTCTTTCTTTCTTTCTTTTTTTTTTTTTTTTTTTGAGACAAGGTCTCCCTTTGTCGCCCAGGCTGGAGTGCAGTGGCGCTATCTCCTCTCACTGCAAGCTCCACCTCCGGGGTTCCCGCCATTCTCCTGCCTCAGCCTCCCGAGTAGCTGGGACTACAGGCGCCCACCACCACGGCAGGCTAATTTTTTGTATTTTTTTAGTAAAGACGGGATTTCACCATGTTGGCCAGGGTGGTCTCGATCTCTTGACGTCGTAATCCGCCCGTCTCGGCCTCCCAAAGTGCTGGGATTACACGTGTGAGCCACTGAGCCCGGCCGACTTTTTTCTTAAAGGGGAAAGACAATGAATTCTGTATTTTGTCAGAAATTTAAAATTTCTACCTCAATTAGTGTAAATGGAACTATCTTGTCGACATAATATATACAAAGCATTATATAAAAAGTGCTATAAAAGATAACAATTGTGAATAAGGCATAATATTCCCCTCATGATAAAAAAAGTTCAAAAATTGTTATAAATCTGTATAGGGTAGATTTGAGTTTTAAGAAAACAAAAAATGCTATAAGATTCAAAACCTGAGGAAATCACATTTATCTGGCTGTAATTCTGGGTAAAAAATTTTTGCATCTTTTGGGCATGTTAAACCAAATAAAAATAGCATATGTGGGTATCATATGCTACCAAGTATCACAACGCCACTGGCCTATAATCAGCCTTAGGCACCTTGTACACAGGTCCCTCCAGTATCATGAGCCTCAGTGTGTATTTCAGAAACACACACTTATAGCATATCAGGTGAACCACACTTGTTCCAAGTCATTCCTGTGTAGTCTTTAATAATAAATAATACTATGTGATAAATTTAGAGGTCAATCAAATGGGTGAGTTAGTTCTAGAAATTTTTGGAAGGCATTAATGGGCTATAATTCATTCTGTTTTGTCTTATCCTGAAATTCCCATGAAACCACCAGGATATCCTGTAGGAATTTTAGAATCACTCTGTTTCTCAAAAAGAACTCTAGTCTCCTCAACTAACTTCAGCTCCATATTCACTTGGTATTATAGTTTTGGCTGGGGCCATGTGCCCAAAACCACATTGCTGGATTACTCTGTTTTATGGAATTTTCTGCCACAGCAATTTGTATCATGTTCATTTTTTACTATAGTAACCTATGGAATGTTAAACAAAGTATCTCGAAAAAGGAAGAAGAAAGAAGATGAAGAAGAGGAAGAAGAAGAAGAGGAAGGGGAAGAAGAAGAAGAAGGAGAAGGAGAAGGAGAAGGAGAAGAAGAAGAAGAAGAAGAAGAAGAAGAAGAAGAAGAAGAAGAAGAAGAAGAAGAGGAGGAGGAGGAGGAGGAGGAGGAGGAGGAGGAGGAGGAGGAGGGGGAGAAGAAGAAGAAGAAGAAGAAGAAGAAGAAGAAGAAGAAGAAGAAGAAGAAGAAGAAGAAGAAGAAGAAGAAGAAGAAGAAGAAAAAGAAGAAGAAGAAGATTTCTATGAAATACGTTTTGTTTTGCTGTTTCAGTCCGTAATCTATTCTTCTAGAATTGAAACCTACATGCACCACCTGATTTAAAAAGTGGGTCTGAGATCAGTGTCATACCTTATGATCCTCTTTTTCCACAATCATAGCTTATTGTTTCAAATGTGACCCTCTGGCCCATGGAAAGTTATTTAAATGTATCTCATTTGGGAAGTCGAACTAAATAGTACTAACATACTGATTTAGTAAATTGTAGCTAATATCTCACTGGTGGCAAAATACCACAGTGAACATCTAAGAATTTCTTGGGCTGAAACCTTCATAATTGCCCTGGATTCCACTTTTCCTGAGGCTTGCTGTGTGTGGTTCTTTACAATAATTTTCCTTTATTTTTTGAGCTGTTGACACTACTGCCTTAAGAGCAAATGCAACCTAATAAAAACAGTCAACTCTTGGCATAGTTTTGCCTGTAAAATTAAACAGTCTTAATTTATTATTTCTGTAATCCTTAGTGGCATTTATCGGATTAGGATTGAAATATCAAAAGCAGTTATAAGCACTGGTATTCCTTGGAATGAAAAATAAGAAAATATATAATTTTATGTAATTTTATGTGTACATGTGTGTTTGTGTGTGTGTTTAATGTTTTTATGCTACCTGATATTTGTGGATCTTAATGTAATAAGAATCTCTGATCATCTCTTGTGCAATATGGGATGCTGGTGGTCTCTGGAGTGTCACGACAAAAGTTACATCAACTGGCGGTGACCATAAATGAAGTGCCTATGAAAGACAATGCCTCAAGACACCAAATAACTGCTGCCCTAGATTGCTGGGGGAGGAATGATGACTATAGATACACTAGATTTTTCTGACTATACTGGAACATTAACAACAACAATAAAATGACAAGTTTAGTCCTTTAAATACTTAGTTAAAGGCACAGTCAGAGACCATGTTTCTGTGGTTTATCAGAAAGCATGTTTTATCTCTTATTTTAAAAATTCTGTTTCTGAAACCAGATCTAAAGTTTGATTCTGCATAACAGATTTACAACCAAGTTAAATTCAGGTCTGCTCCAGATGTTTCAGTAATAGGGAAATAGCAATAACCTGAATATCATACTGAGGACATTTGAGAGGATTTGTATGAACATGAGTATGCTGAATACCTAAATTCAATGATCCTACCTTACCCATTTTTTTCTTCTGCATGAGGAGGCTACAATCCTTTCATTTGAAGATCCTGTACTTTCCTCACTTGAAGCAGTCACTCTTCTTCATGATATTCATTTCATCCCTTCTTGTTACTTCCAAAACTGTAATTAGAGTTAGATTTCATCATGGCTGAAGGAAATGGGCCCAAAGTCTACTTGGAAGAGATAGCATTTGCACCAAAAGTGCAAGGTTTTGACACTTCATATCAAGCAGAATATGGGGGAATATGTGTGTAAATAAATACTTAAAGTGGAAAAGCTATTAGGAAAGAAAAATGCATAGTATTCCATGGTGCATATGTGCCACATTTTCTTAATCCAGTCTATCATTGTTGGACATTTGGGTTGGTTCCAAGTCTTTGCTATTGTGAATAGTGCCTCAATAAACATACCTGTGCATGTGTCTTTATAGCAGCATGATTTATAATCCTTTGGGTATATACCCAGTAATGGGATGGCTGGGTCAAATGGTATTTTTAGTCCTTGAGGAATTGCCACACTGACTTCCACAATGGTTGAACTAGTTTACAGTCCCACCAACAGTGTAAAAGTGTTCCTATTTCTCCACATCCTCTCCAGCACCTGTTGTTTCCTGACTTTTTAATGATCGCCATTCTAACTGGTGTGAAATGGTATCTCTTTGTGGTTTTGATTTGCATTTCTCTGATGGCCAGTGATGATGAGCATTTTTTCATCTGTTTTCTGGCTGCATAAATGTCTTCTTTTGAGAAGTGTGTGTTCATATCCTTCACCCACTTTTTGATGATGTTGTTTGTTTTTTTCTTGCAGGGACATGGATGAAGCTGGAAACCATCATTCACAGCAAACTATCGCAAGGACAGAAAACCAAACACTGCATGTTCTCACTCATAGGTGTAAATTGAACAGTGAGAACACATGGACACAGGAAGAGGAACATCACACACCGGGGACTGTTTTGGCGTGTGGGGAGGGGGGAGGGATAGCATTAGGAGATATACCTAATGCTAAATGAGGAGTTAATGGGTACAGCACACCAACATGGCATATGTATACATATGTAACAAACCTGCACGTTGTGCACATGTACCCTAAAACTTAAAGTATAATAATAAAATAATAAGTAATAAATAATAAAATAAAATTAAATTTTAAAAAAAAGAAGTTAAGAGCTGGGATTCTCACAATATGGCTTGCAGACTACAAGTGTGAACTGAGGAGGTCCCCAAAGTCACTTCTTACTAAGGTAATATTTTCTTTGTTTTTTTTTAGAGAGAGGGTCTTGCTCTGTCACCCAGGCTGGAGTGCAGTGTTGCAATCATAGCTCACTGCAGCCTCTACCTCTTTGGTACTAGTCATCCTCCCACCTCAGCCTCCCCAGTAGCTAAGAGTATAGGTGTACACAAAGTAATGCTTTATTAAATGTTTTATTGCCTTTTTATTCTAAAAGCTATACTTGATCAATATAGAAAATATAAAATAATAAAAACTACAGAAGAAACAAAATTTATCAACAATTACCAACTAAAAATAATGACTTAGACATTTCATCACTCTTGCAATATTTCCATTAATAGCTATTTATCTAGTGGATGGAATATTTTCCATGTTATTTCCTAATTAGTCATGTCTAATGTAAAAGGAAGTTCTTGAAATCCATCTAATATATCGATCCTTTGATTATTTTTTCAATAATTTTAATTAATTCATTTGCACTTTCAAAGCATATTATCTTTTTCTGAAAATTATTTTCTGTCTATTGTATACAACATTTCTGTTTCATATCTTATGCATTGGTTGTAACCTCTAGAACAATGTCAAATAAAAATTATAATACATGACATTTTTAACTGATTTTAATGGAAGTACAGGTAGATATTTTGCTCTTTGGTTTGAGATGTTCTATGTTATCTGAAAAAAATCTCATTCTTAGTTTCTAAGGAACTTATTACAGGAATGGTTGTTATACTTACTATATGTCTAAAAAAAGAAAAAGAAAAGAAAAATGCATTTAAAGTGGCTGAATGTGAAAGTATGAACACACTAACTAGGGATTCTGGAATAAATGTATTAATTGGCTTATTGTGCTTGATTGGATAATCAAAATCCAACCTAAATGGTATCCTATGTTAAAGGAATTTGAGTTAGTGTAACTTTCTTAATGTTCATAAACAAATGCCAAAGCTAAAAAATATAGGGATGTTTAAATGGGTTTATTATTTCTGTTATCTCTTGGAAGATCCTCAGAGGACATTCCTGTCATGAAAGCATTGAAAATATTTTTGTGAGGGAAGTACCAGCGCCCTTGAAGCACTCTGCATTCTCTGCATTGGATGTATTCATGAGGCATGGATTAACTAATGAGGACTGGGCTCCTTGATGTTAATAGGCATACCAGTATCCCACTGTAGACAAAGCCAAATTATAGCACTTAACAGCCACTGATTTAACAACCAATATGGTTACTGAAATGGACAGCGGTACTGAAATAGCAATATTAATAATTTTCACATTGGGTATCTTTGGAAGTAGCAAATTGATCATAAAGACTCTAGAACTGAAAAAGATGAACCAATATACCAACATGTTATGTAATGTTTAGAAAAAAAATCATAAAATCCTCTATCTGGAGACTTTATTTGAGTGGTCATGGTGGAGAATAGCAAAATGAATAAATAAATAATTTTAATTACTAACCTATTTCATAAGAATTCCATAGGTTGCTATTTTTGTTGGTGTCTATAACAAAATAAGACTGAAGTGCTAGCTTATGATTCAATACATCCAACAGTACATACAATATCTGTACAAATTCATACAGGGAATAAAAACCTGGCAAACATCTAGGTTTGGGAGCAAAGCCATGTCTTTTTCTACAAATAACAACTCCTTAAGAAAAAAAAAAAAAAAAAAAAAACATCAACTTTGCTATGAAACCCACAGTAGAGATTTGATGGGCTATCTTACCTAGTAACCATACGGTCTGAGCTCTCCAACATGATTACAATTAGCTATTATCCGATCCATAAAGCCCTACAGTTGGGCTGTTATAGATTCTGATACCACAAATAGTTTTATGATCAAATATTTCAGACTCTCATGAGATCTATTTTGCCTGAATTTCCACCTCTTCTTCAGTCCATATCCAATGGCCTCATAGGGGATTTCATAAAAAACAATTGACTGGTAAAGAAAAAAACAACCATTCTGATAGGAATTGGCTTATGGGGTTATGGAGGCTGCTGTGGACCAAATGTTTGTGCCCCAACCCCTACATTTATATCTTGAAACTCCAAACCCCAGTGTAATCCTATTTGGTGGTAGGGCCTTTGAAATGTAATAAAAATTTGATTAGATTCTGAGGGTGGAATCCTCATGATGGGATTAACACCCTTATAAAAGAGAAGTAGATGAGCGCTCTCTCTCTGTCTCTCTCTCTCCCCTTCTCCCTTTCTCTCTCTCTTTTTCTCCTCCTCTCCCTCTATCTCTCTCTCTCTTTCTCTCTCCTTCTGTATCCCCCTTCCCCACCCCACCCCCTTTCTCAGCATGCATTCATCAAAGAAGGCCACGTGATGACATAATTAGGAATAAAGAGGGCTGCCGCCAAGAACCCAACCATTCTGGAACCTTAATCTAGAACTTCCAGCTTTCAGAGTTGTGAGAAATAA
This sequence comes from Homo sapiens, assembly GCF_000001405.40. Taxonomy (NCBI): domain Eukaryota; kingdom Metazoa; phylum Chordata; class Mammalia; order Primates; family Hominidae; genus Homo; species Homo sapiens. The sequence goes on from NW_018654711.1 coordinate 129,189, forward strand.
ATATTTCTTGTTTAAGCCACCTAATCTATAGTATTATGTTATAGCAACCTAAACTGATTGAGAGGGAGACTCAGAAGTCTCAAATTTGCAGTCAGCAAGCTGGAGAACCAGGAGAGCCAATGATGTAAGTTTTGGTCCTTTAGCCCATGAATATGCAAGCTCAAGAGCCAAGAAGAGCTGAGTTTTAGTTCAAGTCCAAAGGCAAGAAAAGCAGATGTTTCAGCTTAAGTAGTCAGGCGGGAGGAGTTCCCTCTTAAACGTGGGAGGATGAGCCTTTTTGTTCTCTTCTGGCCTTCAACTGATTAGATGAGGGCCACCTACATTAAGGAGGACAATCTGCTTTACTTATTCTACCAATTCAAATGTTAGTCTCATTCAAAACACCATTAAAGACATGCTCAGAATAAGGTTAGGCCAAATAGTTTGGCATCCTGCTGTCCAGTCAAGTTCACACATAAAATTGGCCATCATAAACATAAAATATAACAGCGAAGTCCCCTTGGGGGCAGAACCTTGAGTATGGCATCTGTTTGTTCACTTCATTTGAGAAACAAATTGCCCAGAGGTTCCAATAATTCATTTGAACCTTAATTCATCCATACTAACAATCAGATGTGTTGATTAATAATTTATGCGGATGACAAATACCTTAGAAACTGTACAATTATAAGGCTGGGAAAAAGTTTAGTGTAGATTAAGGAGAAAACTCAAGAACTGGCAAAGTAGGTAAATATATATAGTATCTGTGTATATATTTTCAAAAACAAATGCTGTGAAAGAAATCTGCAATAATCACATAGTAAGATTTCTCATTCAGTGAATGTCCACCAACCTCTTTACCTGTTACCTTTAGCTTATTCAGTGGAATCATTAGCAAACTGAGAATGAATGCTGGTATAGAAGTGGTGTAGCCTCAAGTCCATAAACTTCTCCTCACCAAGGTAAATCTGGCTACCTCCACTGCTTAATGACTAAAATGCCCATAGCAAGAACCAAAGAGAAGCCCTTCATATGGTATATATTCCTGAAGGAAAATATAGCAGTAAATTCTGGTGTCAGTTTAATAAACTTTTAGTTTTCAGTCACAGGGGTGGCAGCAATTTGTCCCCACCGGTATCGCCACTTCTCCGTCTGCAATGTTTGGACCTCATTCTCATCTATGAATTCACAAAATGAATGATTTGCTGCCCTGATAACCTATGTCGCTTATGTACAGCAAGGTAGTAAAGCAATAGATTCATTCTCAGGGGAATCACTCACATCACTATGTACCCCATCATCCTGAAGAAGTGAGCATAGCCAGGCACAGTGGCTCACACTTGTAATCCCAGCACATTTGGAGGCCAAGGCAGGTGGATTACCTCGGGTCAAGAGTTCAAGACCAATCTGACCAATATGGTGAAACCCCATCTCTACTAAAAATACAAAAAATAGTCAGACATCAAGGCATGTGCCTGTGGTCTCAGCTACTTGGGAGGCTGAGACAGGAGAATTGCTTGAACCCAGGAGGTAGAGGTTGCAGTAAGCTGAGATCGTGCCACTGCACTTCAGCAGCCTGGGTGATAAAGCAACATTCCTTAAAAAAAAAAAAAAAAAGAAGAAGTGATGAGGCTAATAATATAGTGGGACAGCTTATAGAAGACTTAAATATGACATTTTGCATATAATAACACTTGGTGGGTTTGGAGAAATGTTCTACAAATTTTAGTTTATGCTCTGATGACAAAAAAAAGGTACCTGTTTCTCTTCTAGCCAAAAAAAGAAAAAAAAGATTGGGAAATGGATTGTTGAAAATGAGAATGACTTATTTTATTATAACCCTGAAAACTTCCCTCCAAAATTTTAAAATTCCCATTCCTATAATTTACTGTGTTGATGATTTCTTGATCTATGTTCCTAAGGAAAAAAAAAAAGAAACTTTTACAAGGGCACAATGACCATTTCAATGAACTGGAAATTGGGAAAACTACCTCACCATTATGGGTTCCTAATACAACAGAACCAATAGGTAAAAGAAGATGTATTAAATGTTTGCAGTCATAATTCTAATTCTAATTCATAAAGAAGCAGCAGGATTTCTGTTAATCAATAGAGTCTGAAAGGGTTACGTTTTTAAACCAGTGGTTTCTCTGAGGTGTCTTTCAATATTTCCATATCTAGTGATAAACAACAATAAATGACAACAATCAAATATAGGCAAGATCAAACACTTTGGGAATAAAAAATTAAGTCCCCATACTAAGCAATGTGTTGTAAATTTGGGGGGAGTTAATTGTGGACAAATGGAACATGAAATGGAATGGAAAGTAAAAGAAAAGAGTTTTAAGTACTAACTAATATCCTGTCTATGCAGGTAATTGCTGGGAGACTCCTGGTCAGGCTTGCCAAACTCCATTCCATATTAGATTCTAAAAAGGCCCTGAATTTCAGTTCCATCTCCTTACAATGGCAGTCTGGGAGCAATCTTGCCCACATAGAGATATGCTAGGAGTCTTGCCCACCAGTGACATGGGCTCGGCTTGCCAATTCTGGTCCCACAGAAAATTCTGAAATAACCCAGACGCTCAGTTTTAGCCATCTTTCAACTGTGATCTGAGAGTAGGTTTGCCCAGGAAGAATCCTACTTTGAGATATGCCTGTCTGAGTTCCTGTGGAAGGCTTGGCAATTTGTCCCACAGCAGATCCTCAAATGCCCTGGATCTCAGGCCCAGTCCCTCTTGTTTGTAGACTTAGAGCAGTTCTGTCCACCTGGAGACCCAGAAGGGGGCATGTCCCACAGTGCTCTGCAGGCTGACACACTGACCTCAGTCCCACTGTGAATCCTAAAGTGGCCCTGGAAATTGGCTCTATCAATCACTTCTCAACTGCAGTATGAAAGCAGGCCTGCTCACTCGGAAAACTGCTGGGAGACACCCTATTAATGGCCTCAGAGACAGGCCTAAAGATTTCGGTCTCAGCTGTGGCCTCATATAAACTCGTGCCTCAGTTCCAGCTCATTTTAGCCATCAACTTGAAAAGTACAGCCAGCCCAAGGATTCATCCAGTGATATAACAGGAGCCCTTCCAGAGACCTGGTGAAAACCACATCCATCATGCATGTGGTAACAGACCTGCCATTTGCAAACCCTGAAATGAGACTTAATTATAGCACAGATCCATAGACCAAAGGACTGGAGAAAGTCCAGTCTACCCAGGGACCAGATAGGACCCACATGCAATAGAGCCCCTGGTAACAGACCTGCTCACTGCATTCTCCATTGCAGATGCAGCATCAGCCATGAGACCCAGATGCAATCCCACTTAACTGCTATCCCACAGGCAATCCCATCAGCCCAGAGACCAAACAGATTATTTTCCCTTGCTGAAACCAGTCTGTAAACAATGAAAGAAGGGTTTGCTACTTCCAGTATACAGACACCAATGCAAGACTGCATGGATAACAAAGAATCAAGCACACATATTACCACCAAAGAAAACCAATAAAGCTTCAATAACCAACTCCAAAGAAATGAAGATATACGAATTGCCAGGAAAAAAATTCAGAATAATCATCTTGAAGCTCAGTGAGATGCAACAATATATAGACAACTAAATAAAATTAGAAAATAATGCATTAACAAAATAAGAAGTTTAATAATTAAATAGAAACAACTCCCCACCCCCAAGAAAAAAACAGAAGAATCTCTGGAGCTGAGAAAAATCAATGACAGAACTGAAAAACTCAACAGACAATTTCAACAGCAGACTCAACCATGTGGAAGAAAGAATTAGTGAACTCAAAACAGGTCATTTGAAATTAGCCAATTACAGGAACAAAAAGAAAAATATATATAAAAAGAATAATAAAAACATATGGGCCTACAGAACATAACAAAATGTGCAAGTATATAAATTATGGTAGTACCAGAAAGAGAAGAGAAATAGAAAGGGGAAGAAAGCTTATTCTAAGAAATATTGCCTGAGAACTTCTAAAATTTTGGAAATGATGTGGACATGCAGATTCGGGAGGTCCAAAGCATGGTAAGCAAGATCAAATCAAAAAAAGAACACTCCAAGACACATTATAATCCAATTGCCAAAAGTCAAAGAGGATTTCAAAAGAGCAAGAGAGAAGAAACTTGTCACATGTAAAGAATCTTTCATAAGGCCATCAGCAGATTTTCAACAGAAATCTTTCAAGCCAAGAGAAAATGGGATGACATATTCAAAGTGCTAAAGGAAAAAAAGAGAAGCCAAACAGAAAAATTATCCTTTGCAAAACTGTCCTTTTGAAATGAAGGGGAGAATCGCCTGAACCTGGAAGGCAGAGGTTGCAGTAAACTGAGATCGTGCTGCTGCACTCCAGCCTGGGCAACAGAGTGAGACTCTCAAAAAAAAAAAAAAATGCTGTCTGGGAAGAACAGCATGGGAAGAAACCATGTGACCTAAGATTAAGAAACAGCTGTAGGGCTCAATGTTGCCCAGGCTGGAGTGCAGTGGCGTGATCTCAGCTAGCTACAACCTCCACCTCCCAGCCGCCTGCCTTGGCCTCCCAAAGTGCCGAGATTGCAGCCTCTGCCCGGCCACCATCCCGTCTGGGAAGTGAGGAGTGTCTCTGCCTGGCTGCCCATCGTCTGGGATGTGAGGAGCCCCTCTGCCCGTCTGCCCAGTCTGGGAAGTGAGGAGCGCCTCTTCCCGGCCGCCATCCCGTCTAGGAAGTGAGGAGCGTCTCTGCCCGGCCGCCTGTCGTCTGAGTGGGGAGCGCCTCTGCCCCGCAGCCCCGTCTGGGATGTGAGGAGCGTCTCTGCCCAGCCGCGACCCCGTCTGGGAGGTGAGGAGAGTCTCTTACCGGCCGCCCCGTCTGAGAAGTGAGGAGCCCCTCCACCCGGCAGCCGCCCCGTCCAGGAAGTGAGGAGCATCTCCGCCTGGCAGCCGCCCCGTCCGGGAGGAAGGTAGGGGGTCAGCCCCCGCCCGGTCGCCGCCCCGTCCGGGAGGTAGGGGGCGCCTCTGCCCAGCCACCCCTTCTGGGAAGTGAGGAGCCCCTCTGCCCGGCCACCACCCCGTCAGGGAGGTGTACCCAACAGCTCATTGAGAACAGGCCATGATGACGATGGCGGTTTTGTGGAATAGAAAAGGAGGAAAGGTGGGGAAAAGATAGAGAAATCAGATTGTTGCTGTGTCTGTGTACAAAGAAGTAGACATAGGAGACTCCATTTTGTTCTGTACTGGGAGAGGTTCTTCTGCCTTGGGATGCTGTTGATCTGTGACCCTGCCCCCAACCCTGTGCTCTCTGGGGCATGTGCTGTGTCCACTCAGGGTTGAATGAATTAAGGGCGGTGCAACATGTGCTTTGTTAAACAGATGCTTGAAGGCAGCATGCTCCTTAAGAGTCATCACCACTCCCTAATCTCAAATACTCAGGGACACAAACACTGCGGAAGGCCGCAGGGTCCTCTGCCTAGGAAAACCAGAGACCTTTGTTCCCTTGTTTATCTGCTAACCTTCCCTCCACTATTGTCCTGTGACCCTGCCAAATCCCCCTCTGAGAGAAACACCCAAGAATAATCAATTAAAAAAAAAAAAAAAAAGCGAGAAAAAAAGAAACAGCTGTAGGAACTGAAAGTGTTTAGCTCAGATGTGACTAAGGGGTATCAATTGGTGTCTTCAAGTATTGTGGCTCTCGTAGATAAGAGAATGAAAAACACAAAAAAGAAAAAAGAAAAAAGTTTTAAAAAGAGAGAATGAAGTAATTTAATTACACTAGAGCCTAGGTGCAATGAGAAGTTAGCCAGCAGGCAAATTTAAATAAATACTGAAGGGCTGGGCGCTGTGGCTCAGGTCTGTAATCCCAGCACTTTGGGAGGCCAAGGTGGGTGGATCAATTGAGGTCAGTTTGAGACCAGCCTGGCCAACATGGTGAAACCCCGTCTCTACTAAAAATACAAAAATTAGCCGGGTGTGATGGTGGGCGCCTGTGGTCCCAGCTACTCGGGAGGCTAAGGCAGGAGAATCACTTGAACTCAGGAGGTGGAGGCTACAGTGAGCCAAGATCACACCACTGCACTCTAGCCTGGACAGCAGAGCAAGACTCCATCTCAGAAATAGAAAATACAAAATAAATAAATATTGAAAACAAAAAACAAAACAAAACAAAGAAATGAAGGGGAGGTTAAAAAAATTCAAAACAAGCAAAAAACTGAAGGAGTTCATCACCATGAAACTACTCTTATGAGAAATGCTAAAGGAAGTTTTCACATTAAAACAAAATAATGATAAGCAACAATATGAAGCATATGAAAGTATAAAACTCACTGGCAAAGGTAAATATATAGTCAAATTCAGAATACTCTAATATTATAAAGGTAGTCTGTAAATCACTCTTTTGTGTAAGAGTTAAAAACAAAATTCATTTTTTAAAAAAGCTATGATTGATTAACAGATACAAAATATACATCCATAGCATGATATTAATAGCATAAAATGTTAAAGTAAAATACAACATCAATAGCATAGCCTGTGGAGGAAAAGAATTAAAAGTGCAGTGTCTTGTATGCAATTGAAGTTAAGTCACTGTCAGCTTAAATTAGGGTATTATAATATGACGGTGTTTTATGTAAGTCTCAGGGTAGCCATAAAGCAAAAACTTCAGCAGGGTGTGGTGGCTCATGCCTGTAACCCCAGCACTTTGGGAGGCTGAGACGGGAGGATCACAAGGTCAGGAGTTTGAGACCAGCCTGACCAATATGGTGAAACCCCATCTCTACTTAAAATACAAAAATTAGCCAGGCATGGTGCATGTGCCTGTAATCCCAGCTACTCAGGAAGCTGAGGCAGGACAATCACATGAACCCGGGTGGCAGAGGTTGCAATGAGCTGAGATAGTGCCACTGCATTCCAGCCTGAGCGACAGAATGAGGCACTGTCTCAAAAAAAAACAAAAACAAAAACAAAACAAAAACTACTAAATACACAAAATACAGAGAGAAAGAAATAAATTATACCACTACAAGATTAAAACAAATCATAAACAAATACAGCCAGAGTGAAATAAAGGAACAAAATAATTTCAAAACATTTAGTCTAAATGTAAATGGATTAAATTCTCAATTTAAAAGCCACAGAGAAGATGAATGGATTAAAAAAAATTAAAAAATGAAAAACCAAAGATCTATCAAAACACTGCCTACAACAGACTCACGTTAGCCATTAGAACAAACATAAGGCCAGATTCAGTGACTTATACCTATAACTCTAGCATTTGGAGACACTGAGAGAGGAGGATTGCTTGAGGCCAGGAGTTGAGACTAGTGTGGGCAACATAGCAAGACCCTATCTCTACAAAAAAAAATTTAAGTTAGCCAGCCATGGTTGTGCATGCCGATAGTCCCCACTACTCAGGAGACAGAGGCAAGAGGATAGCTTGATCCCAGAAGTTTGAGGCTACAGTGAGTTCTAAACATGCTACTGAACTCCAGCCTGGACAATATAGCAAGATCCTGTCTCTTTAAAAAATTTGTTCTAACAATAAACATAGATTGAGAGTGAAGGTAAGGAAAACATATTTTAGGCAAATGATAATCAAAAGCGAGCAGGCGTGGCTACACTTAGACAAAATCGACTTAAAGTCAGAAACAGTAAACAGAGACAAGGAAAGTCAACATATAATGATAAAGGGGTCAATTTAGCAAGAGGATATAAGAGTTTTTAATATATATGCACCTACATCAGAGCACCTATACATATAAAGCAAATACTAATAGATCTGAAGGGTTAGATAGACTGCAATATAATAATATTATATATAGATAGAATACATGATAGAATACATCAAGAAGAAATAGAAATCTAAACAGACCATAGTAGGAGACTTCAGTACTCCACATTCAACATTGCGTAGATCATCCAGACAGAGAATCATTGGAAAAATAGTGGAACTGAATAACACTTTGGATGTAGACCTAATTGACATACATAGAATATTCCATCCAACTGAAACAGAATACATCTTTTTTTAACGACACATGGAATATTTTCCGCAATAGATTATACATTAGGCCACAAAACAAGTCTTAACACATGTAAGAAGATTAAGATCATACCAAGTATTTTTTTCTGACTCTAATGGAATGAAAATAGAAATCAGTAACAGGAGAAATATTAGAAAGTTTACAAATATACGGAAATAAAACAACATGCTTCTGCAACACCAAAGGTGAAAGAAGAAATTGAAAGGGACATCAAAAAATCCTGAGACAAACAAAAGTAAAAACACAACATACTAAAACTTTGGAGATGCAGCAATAGCAGTTCTGAGAAGGAAGTATACAGCAATAAATGCCTACATAAAAAAAGAAGAGAAACCAAATAAGCGATTTAATAGTACACCTCCAGGAACTATAAAAGAAAGATAAATTATACTCAAAATCATTAGAAAGAAGGAGCGCATAAAGATTAATGAAATAGGGAGTAGAAAAACAATAGAAATATCAACAATAAAAAGAAATGGTTTTTTGAAAAGATAAACATAATTGACAAAACATTAGCCAGATTAACTACAAAAAGAGAGAAGACTCAAGTAAATAAAATCAGAAATGAAATAGGAGAAATTACTACTGATATCACAAAATTACAAAGGATCATGAGTGACCATTATGAATGATTATACACCCACAGATTGGGTAAACTAGAAGTGGATAAATTCCTATAAACGTATAACTTAGTAAGAATACATTAAGAAGAAATAGAAATCTAAACAGACCAATAATTAGTAAAGAGATTAAATCAATAATAATAATAAACAATTCTCATCAAAGAAAAGCTTAGGACCAGATGGCTTCATGGTAGAATTTTACCAAACATTTAAAGACTAATTCATAGCAATCCTTCTCAAACACTTCCAAAAAATTGAAGAAGAAAGAATATGTCCAAACTAATTTTACAAGGTCAGCATTACGCCTAATACCAAAGCCAGATAAGAATGCTACAACAACAGAAAATTACAGGATAATATACTTGTTGAACGTAGATGCAAACATTCTTGACAAAATACTGGCAAATTAAATTCGACAGCACATTAAAAGTATCATTTGCCATAATCAAGTGTAATTTATCTTTAGGATGCAGGGAAGTTTCAACATATGCAAATCAATAAATGTGATACATCATATTAACAAAATGAAGGACAAAAACCTTATTATTACCTGAATAGATGTAGAAAAAGCATTTGACAAAATTCAACATTATTTCATAATAAAACCTCTGAACAAATGAGTCAAGAAGAATGGGAATTTTATTCAAAATAGTATTGGAAGTTCGAGATAGTGCAATTAGACAAGAAAAAGGGGAAAAAGGAATCCAAAGGGGAAGAACAAAGTGAAATTTTCTCTATTTGCTGATGACATGTTCTTGTACACACAAAACCCTAAAAGGCCAACAATATCTGGTACAATTCATAAAAGAATAGAGTAAAGTTGCAGGACTTAAAATCAAGCTGCAAAATTCAGAATTTATTTATACTATCAATGTGCTATCTGGAAAAGAAATTAAAGAATCAGTCTCATTCACAACATTTTAAAAGAACTCTTAGTAGTAAAATTTAACCAAGGAGTGGAAGATCTGTATACTGAAATCTGCAAACAATAAAGAAATGGAAGAAGACACAATCCAATGGAAAGGCGAAATTCCATGATCACAAATTGAGATAATGAATATTGTTAAAATGTCCATACTACTCCAAATAATCTACAGATTCAATACAATTTCTATCAAAATTCCAATGCTTCCTTTTATGGAAATAGAAACAACCATCCCCAAACTCATATGGAACCACAAAAGACCCTGAATACACAAAATAATCATGAGCAAAAAGAACAAAGCTGAAAGCATCACACTACCTTACTTCAAAATCCATTACAAAGCTATAGTAATCAAAATAGCATGGTGTTGTCATAAAAACAGACACATTGACCAATGGTTAATTAAATAATACATCTTTACAGTTGAAAGGAATAGCTTCAAGAGATCTACTGTACAGTATGATGATGTTATAGTTAATAATGACATACTGTATTATCAAAAAATGCTAAGACAGTGGATGTTAAGTGTTCTTATCACAAAGATGATAATTATGTGAGATAGCGCATTTGATAATTAGGTCGATGTAATCATTCCACAATGTGTAAATATTGCAAAACATCATGTTGTATGCTATAAATACATTGTTTATGTCAGTTTTAAAATGAATAAATTTGAGGAAAAAAAACACCAGACACATTGGCCAATGGAACATAATAGAGAGCTCAGATATAAACTCACACATTTATGGTTAATTGATTTTTTATAAAATGCCAAGAACATATAATAGAAAAAGGACAGACTTCAATAGATAGCATTGAGAAAACTGGATACCCACACACAAAAAAACGAAATTAGACCCACATCTCTCACCATATACAAAATCAACTAAAATGGATTAAAGACTTACACATAAGATCTGAAACTGTAATAGTACTGGAAGTAAATAGAGGGGAAATATTCCAGGACATTTGCCTAGGCAAGTATTTCTTGGATATTACCTCAGAAACACAGTGAAAAAAAAGCAAGAAAACAAACAACCCAATTAAAAAATGAACACAGAACCTAACTAGACATTTCTCAAAAGAAGATACACAGATGGTCAACAGGTTTATGGAAAAAATGCTCATCATCGCTCATCATAATGAAAATGCAAATTAAAACCACAATGAGATAAGATCCCATACACATTACAATGGCTATTATCAAAACAATAATACATGTTGATTAGGGTGTGGAGAAAAGGGAATCCTTGTACATTGTAAGCAAGGATGTAAATTAATATAATTATTATGGAAAACAATATGAAGTATTCTAAGAAAACTAAAAATATTATTACCATATGAACCTGCAATCTTATTTCTGGGTATATATCCAAAGGGACTAACATCCATATGCTAAGAAGATATATGCACTACCATGTTCATTACATTATTCACAATAGCTAAGCTAAGGAATCAACCTAAGTGTCCATCATCATATGGATGGATTTTTAAGGTGATATATATATATATATATATATATATATAATGTTCAGCTTTAAAGAAGGAAATTCTGTCATTTGCAACTTGATGAATCTGGAGGACATTACACTAAGTGAAATAAGCCGGGAACAAAAAGACAATTACTACATGATTTCACTTATATGTGGAATCTAAAAAAAAAAAAAAAAATGAACTCATAGGAGTAGAGAGTAGAATGGCAGTTAGCAGAGGCTGAGAGAGGAGCTTAGATGGGGAAAGGGGATATATGAAAAAAATTTCAATTAGACATCAAGAATAAGCTTTAGTGATCAATTAAACAGAATGGTAACTATAATAAACAATAATGCACTGCACATTTTAAAATACATAAATGCCATTTGCTAAGTAAGAACTATAGTAATATGCATATTTTCTTCATTGTTTTGCATCTTACCAATTGCCTTTCTTTTTTCCACATAACTACATATAAAGTGATTTGGTAGAAGTGAATTTTATCATTCAATCTTTTGTTACCAGATATAGAAGTAGACTTGTGATTGAATTAGAAAAGGAATAAACACTATGTAGTTCTGTATGCAGTGACTGATGAGAATTTGGTGAAGAGAGGAAAGACATTGTTGTTAGTCACATCATGTTAAGTAGTCATATGATGTTGCTGTCATTTGTTGTTTTGCACATAAGCATGAATAGAAGGTTATCTATTGATATGGAGGAACCAAAAGGGGGGACTGTGTCAGATTGGTTATTGGTGCTTAGAAGCATTTTCACCCCCTTCTATGCTCTATTCTTAACTTAGAAACCGATGGCTGGGAAATAAGTTTCCCAGAATGCATGTGGAAAAACTTCTATTAGATTATAATAATGAAAGAGATTCTTGTTGGATTTGGAAGTCAGAAGTGAAACACAGTTATCATTCTTCCTCTTGCAACAACAGGCAGACACATAGATGGGATAGATGTGAGACTTTTTAGTGTCCATTGTCTATTGCCCTAAGAATCACTCACTTTGGTGCTGCAGCCAGCACTGCAGTAACCATCAGCAATAATTTCCTGAACTTTTTGAGCTGGGTTGAAAATAGCAACTTTATGATTCCCCAAAAGCTAGCAACAAACCTGAGATATATTGGTGGCTTTCCTTGACCTTTCCTCATCACTCCTTTCAATGAATTTGTAAGCATTTAATTTCCTGTGTTAAACTCCATACTGTTTGCAATGTTTAAAGAGGCTTATGTTATCTGAATCATCAATGATAAAAGATTATAATTTCAGTGACTAAGGACTTTAAGACATAGAAAGTAATACTACCTGTAAAAATTACTATACCTATTAAAAATATTACTAGGCATATAACAAAATAGTTGCTGATTTGTTTATAAAATGACCTTTACCATCAATCATCAATAGCAAAAAAAGCATTATATATTAATAATTAATAACAATAAAAATGATACACATCTAAAAAGAAATTAGGTAAGTAATATTAAGAAGCAATACTTAAAAATTACATAATGGCCATTGTTATCTCCTGCTAATTTTTTGTCAGAGACTACCACTGAAATCAAAATCCGCTGAGAGAGAAATAGTCAAAGCATCCGTATAATATTAATGCAAGAAAATGTGTTGGGGGAGGGGCAGCAACCAAATTCCACACTAGAAAAATAACACATACAAGAAAACCTAGACCTAGAAGCACATAAAGATTTTAGCCAAATATTCCAACATTAATACAAAAATACTAACGATTAAATCACAACTTTTTATGAAAAGCAATAGAAACTCAGGGGAAAATGGCCAATTAATAGAAGGATCAATAAGAAGAAGGGAAACTGTACAGTAAGGCACATAGAGTACTGAAATAAGAAAAAAAAAGTTAAGAAAACCAAATTAAAATAATCAGTGAACAGTTAGTGACAGAAAATACAGGAGCCAAGACACAGTTTATGTAAAGTTGAGTTTTGAAGGAGAAAATCAAAGCAAGGGAACAGAAATGCACTAAAACATATTCTTGTAGAGCTATTGGATTTATAAGGAAACAATCTGTTTGGTTTCTAGGTGAAAAAGATAACATCACTTATAAAGGAAAGAAATTCAGATAGTCAGATTAAAAATGAAAGGCCAAATAATCAGTCTGGCTGCAATGTTCATTTCAGGAAGACAATAGATCAACATCTACAAAAGGACTTATGGGAGGGAAAAGTGACACAAGGATCTTATACTCAACAAATTTGTCTTCCAAGTATAAAGAATACCGACAAAACAGTATTCAATATGGAATAGCAACATACATTTTACATATGAAGTCTTTTTGAAGAAAAACTACAGTAAACTATGGACTAACTGGAAAATCCCTGGGAAAAACACTACAGTGAGAATTTCTCATTGTATAATGGAAGAACCAATATAAAAATCAAGGTAGGAATAAGAATAATAGGATGGGGCATAAATGTTATGTATCTTACAATGTTAAAAGGAATTAAGTGAAAATAATAAAAAGAGAAATAAATTTGGATATTGAAATAATCTTTATTGCCCCATAGGCAATAGCTTGAAATCAAAGGGCATCTTTTAAAATGACTAATTCACTGACAAAAGTATACAGATGTCATACAAACACAAGAAAGATAATACTAAAGTTTTTTTACAAAGATAAGCACTAAAAAGCACTTTTCAAAATACCAGAAGACCCACATAAAATCAAAGAAAAAAATACTACACAAAACAATATAGATATATATCTCCACACATACACACTTAAGCACAAATATATACAAAATCTGTTGTAGTATATCACATTAGTCAAGAAAAAGGAGGATAGAGAAGAAGGAAGATAAAAGAAAAGAAGAGGAGGGAGAAACAGCTCCATAAATATAATTTGGCCTGGGCTTTGATGAATAGTAGGAAACAGTTCAACATTGCATTCATTTTCCAAGACTTGCAGGGCAAGTTTTATTTGTTGCAGTTACAGTTAAATGCATGCCCAGGTAAATGCAGTATCTGATGCAAAATTATTAGATATAAGTGAATACTGTAGGCTATAAACCAATGATGAGTTTGAGGAATTAAAAATATTTTACCTTAACATAGTCTCTCTGGAATTAATTGTTTAATAATTGCTTTATCATTATCAAAAAGAAGAAAAGTTTGGTTGGGAAGAGGCAGGGAGTACAGTTCGTTTATACAATTATTAAAACAGAAAGTGAGGGACAGGAAAGTGTGGAGGTGTATTTCTATTTTTAACACTTAACATATATGATTGCACAGTCTAAGTATTATTCTGTTTTCACACTGCTATAAAGAACTACCTGACACCGGGTAATTTATGAAGAAAAGAGGTTTAATTGACTCACGGTTCTGCACGATTAACAGGAAGCAGGACTGGGAGGCCTTTGGAAACTTACAATTATGGCAGAAGGTGAAGGGGGAGCAAGCATCTTCTTCACATGGTGGCAGGGGAGAGAGAGGGGGAGACGAGCGGGGAGGTGCCACACACTTTTAAACCATTAGATCCTGTGAGAACTCAGTCACTATCACGAGAACAACATGGGGAAAATCCGCCCTCATGATTCAATCACCTCCCACCAAGTCCCTCCCCCAACATTGGGAATTACAATTCAACATGAGATTTGGGTGGGGACACAGAGTTAAACCACATCATTCTATAAGCTGTTTGGTAGTTTAAAATAAACTAGAATATTAACTGTTCTGTAAAGGCTGAATTTTTTTTCTTTGTTTGCGTGTTTTATTTATAGTTCATTACTTTACCCTAGTGCCTAACACTGTACCTAATATACGGGGGTGCTCATTAATAGTTGCTGAACAAAAGATTATTTTGGAGAAGCACATGGATAGCTCTTTTCTCGTCTTGTTTCCAGAGCAAATGGGGGAGAAACTTAGGTTAAAAACAGTTTACTTGTTATTAATAGTTTTGCCCATTAAATGGAAACACAGGCAGCTGTGAAATCAAGGTAGATAAGCATTTCACAAAATAATAACACATGTAGCCATAAATACATGAAAAATTATAACTACTGCTTATAAAGATGGTAAAAATTAATAGGATAATGAGTAATATTTTGCCTAAAATATTGGAATGAAAATAGCTGCTATTGTATACAACAAATTATTGTTTATAATAGCCAAATGTTGGAGAAGTATTCATACCTTTCATAATTTTAATACATTTGATATCTATTGCCAAGTTGCCTAATTATTTGTACTCCTACAAGCAGTAAGTGAAAGTGCCTGCCTCCTCACGGCATTCCCGGGCAACTGTTAATTGTGGATTTTCTTAAACTGCTTTCAGCTTACATAGTTAAGCAAATGATATCTGTTTATCAATTTATTAAAAGCAAGTCTCAGGCTCTGTTGCCTGCCTCAGTCTCAGTGCTCCTCAGCTGTCCCGGAAGTGGCTCTGATAGGGCTGGTCAGTGTGCCCTGAAAAGCTGTGGGAGGATGGCTGTCCCCACCTAGATTTCAAAGGAATGCTGGGTAAACTGCAGGCCCAAGCAGAGAATCTCTGTGATTTTATGGCACCTCCTCAGAGTGGAGAAGGGAGGCGAGTCAATCTAGAGTGAGCAAGTGAGGAATATTTAGAACATTACAAAACATCAGGTGATGTAATTTTTTCATATGTCTAAATGTGGCTCCTTTGGGTCCAGTGCATCATGAACTAAAATGATAAAGCATAAGCCTACCACCTCTCCACTATCATACACAGAAAATACACAGTGGCAGATCACAGGCGGGATAACCACATTCAGAAACGCAAAATGGAGAAATACATCAGGTACTGGTCCACTGACATTCGGAAATTTCTGTTAGGAAGACAAAGTGAAGTTCCTCTATCTTCAAGGGAGCTCTACCAACTTCCCAGCAAAATTGGGGAATCTATATATAACAAACAAACGAAACTCAATAATTTAGAGTCTGTGGAATGGTTTGAAGGACATACAGCTAATGAAAAAAAAAACTTTAATCAGTAAGAAGAGCTGGCATCTGTGGTATTTGAACCAATGTGGTTACCAGGTTATACAGGATGGCATGGTCTACCAGGAAAGAACTCTTCCCCAGTTATCCATAGCTTAAGCCCTGATTTGGCCGCTTCAGAGGCCCTGCCTCTAAATCTATTTTTGTTGGTCCCTGGCTCCTCCCTGTGGAAAGTTCTCCCTATTTTATTAATCTTACCGGCCACATCTGAAGGGGATATTGATGAATACGACCCTCTTTGTGGGCTACAGAGATATGTCAGCCTGTGTACAGCCTTTGAAGTATTACAAATCAACTGCTGTTTTAAGTTTGAAACAGTCACATACTTTTAGAGTAGATTTAATTAAGCTTTCATTGTCAATATGAACTTCTCAAAAAATAGTATATTCCTACTTTACTGGATTTATTTATTTTATTTTTTAGTTCATTTTGTGTTTTTTATTGAGGTGAGAACATTCAACATGAGATCTACTCTCTTCACACATTTTTAAGTGCATAATACATTATTGCTTACTACAGGCATAATGTCCTACTGCAGATCTCTAGAACCTAGTCATCTTATGCAACGGAAATTTTAAACCCATTAAACAGTAACTCCCCATTTCTTCCTCTGCTCAGCCTGTGACAACCACCATTCTACTCTCTGCCTTTATCAGGCTGACTATTTTAGGTACTTCACATAAGTAGAATCATGCAGTATTTGTCCTGTGCAACTGGTTCATTTCACTTAGCATAATGTCCTCCAGGTTCATCCATATTGTTGAATACAACAGAATTTACTTTTTTTAGAGGCTCAAATAGCATTTCATGTATATGTATGTATGTGTGTGTATATATATATTTACACACATATATACCACATTTATATACATATATATACCACATTTTATTTGTCTGTTCATTTATAAATTGACACTTCAATTGATTCTATATCTCATTGACTTATGCTCCAATGAGAGATCCAGATTTCAAAGACGTAAATCTTTTGGATGTATACCCAGAAGTGAAATTACTGGATCATATGTGAGTTCCATTTTTAATTTTGTGAGGAGACTCTACATTGTTTTTCATAGCAACTGTACCATTTTATATTCCCACCAACAATGCACAAGGGTTCCAGTTTCTTCACATTCTGCCAATACTTGTTGTCTTTTATTTTTTTGATGATAACCATTCTAACAGATGTGTAGTGGTATCTCTGTTTTAGTCTGGCCACTATAACAAAATACTATAGACTGGACAGCATTTAAACAGCAGTCTTTTATTTCTCACAGGCCTGAAGACTGGGAAGTTCAAGATCAAGGGGCCAACAGATTCAGTGTCTGTCCAAGGTCTGCTTTCTCAGAAACAGGCTCACTCTAAATCTCAGATTGTAAAAGGGATGAGGGGTCTCCCCTGAACATCTTTTATAAGGGAATAATCCTACTTATGAGGTCTCTGCCCCATGACTTAATCACCACCCAAAGGCCCCACCTGGTAACGGCTTCACCTTAGGAGTAAGGATTTCTACATACAGATTCTAGAGGCTCATTGCCTATCTTATTGTGATTTTAATTTGCATTTCCTTGAGGATTCGTGAAGGTAAGCATCTTTTTATATATCTGTTGGTCATCTGTATGTCTTCTTTGGAGAAATATCTATTTAAATCATTTGTCCAATTTTTAATGGGATTAGAAACTTAAATTAACACTCCTAGAAGAAAACATAAGAAAAACGTTACATGACAATGGTCTTGGTAATGAACCTTTATTGGATTTCTATTTGTTCTAGTAACTATAGTCACATTTTTACAGAGATTCTCCCAAATATTTATTTTTATTTTTGTGTTTTTATCCAAATGCCTTATTCTCTAAATATAATTGTGGTTACTTTGAGGCTATACATTTATAGTGAGTAGGGGACATTTTAATTTGATGAATATACAAGGATGCTGTATTAGATGAGAGGTTTCTCTGGTGAAAGTTCTTAATTTTATCTTTTCCCTAAAATAAATTTATCAAACTACATTTTTACCAAATGTTGGATGTTCAAAGTAAAGTCCGTCTCTCATTATTTTCACTTCAAAAGCAAATGGCTTTACATTGGAAGGCCTTAGATTTCTGAAATCTTTCTAACCACTTTTATTTCTCCTTTCAAACTGGTAGTTAATTTGAAATTCATATCTCTCTTGTATTACTTTGCAAATTCCATGATAACAACCAACATACCTTAAGGTTTTGGTTTCAATTTATTCCCGTAAAGCCATAAGCTTATTAGGCATATGATCTGCTTCCATACTTGTCTAGGTTAACAGTTTTAGTGAATATTCTAATACCAGATAACATAGATAGCAGTTTATTAATCTTTGGTTATTGCTTTCCTCATCACTTACTGCCCAGTCAGGAAAACAAAACCAAATATATTATTAAAATTTTTAAAAGAGGCATCCTACTTCTAGCACTAACGTTTGCATTAGACAAAATAGGCCAGTGTACATGACAGTTGCAAAAACGTTTATAAATATGTATGGTTAAAATAACATGGATTTGACAGTGGAGTCTGGTATGACAGCAAGAGGAAGCTCCTGCCCTCCCCACCACTCCCAATCCCCAGCAAAATTTGTGAAGACTATTAAAAGAATGACAACACATAAAATCTATGGGGATGACTCTAAGAGCACCTCCATAACAAGAAAAAAAGGTATTTGAATTGATAAGAACAAGAATTGGTGGTATTTTAACCAATACAGCTCCCTTTCTCATACCTCCTAGCTCAATGAGGTGGAAACTACTCCAGAGTGGTGTAGACAAAAATATAGAGCTTCCTCTTTCCCCATTTTGCTGTAAGAGTGCTATCATCCTGCATGATCAATATGTCAGCATGTTATCATTTTTCCCTCCTACCCACTGCTGAGGTTAAGTTCTGGGCAAGTATAGCCGAATAGTGGGGAAGTCTCTTTTTATTTTCAGTCCCCATTGGTGGGATAGACAGCACCTCTGAGAATGCTATGGCATCAGTTGCCCTTGCTCAAGCATGTAAAACAAAGGTTCCACACAGATTACCTGAAGACCTGAGAAGCTGAGAAGACTTGAAGCTACTGCCTCCTCAACCCAGAGCTTAGCTCATACAATAACAGTGCCATTCAAAGAGAAATATGTCATTCTTTCTGTCCCCAGCTCCAGAGTGATTGCTCAGTGACTTTGCCTTGGTGGGGAAAGCAGGCTATAAAACTGATAGCTCCTAATCTCCTAAAAGAATTATTTGTAACAAAACATGGAGAAGTTCAAGCCTAAGGGCACTTTCAAAAAGAGTGCAGGTTATGGTGAAAGACAATTTGGAGGGGTTGGCAATCTGATTGGAGATGCAAGTTAAACAGTATGCCGTCTTGTTTACAAGAGACACCTGGAAAAGAAAAATTTGGAAGAACCCTCCTAGGTTCAAATTTCAAACACTGTTCATGAGGACTATGCCTTCAAAGAAACTCAAATTTAATTGGATTAGCCTTTAAGCAGTTAATACCCCAAAGTATTGTTTTAAAAATTAGAGCAATAAGCTGGAAATCAGAAAAGCTTAGTAACTGGATGTGTCCAGTAAAAAAGCCAGTCAAAAGGATTCTTGTCAAAACTTCCATTATCCCAGGGTGGTTGTGGGAATTCACAAGATTAGGCTATAATTCAAGTATTTAGTCAAAATTTCTTTCAATCTTTTTTCAAGTCCTTTATCTCTTTCTCTCCTCTCCTTCTGATACTTGCATTGTGTATAACATTGTGTGCTTAAGGGTGTTCCACATCTCTCTGAGCTTGCTTTATTTTCAACCATTCTTTTTGCTCTCTTTTGTTGGCAATATCTGTATCAATAGATCTTCAAGTTTGGTAATTCTTTCTTTGCCCAGTTCATAAAATCTACTGTTTAGCCTCATTAGTGTATTTTTCACTTCAGTTATTTCTGAAATGTATTAAAAACAGTAGCCTACACAAACAGAAAGCTCAGCAAATACCAGTAGAAGGAACAAACAAAAAAAAGACCCTACAAACAGACACATAAGAGTAAAAATTCTGAAAGCCGAAAACAGAAAATATTGAAAGTTGCAAGGGAAAAATTACTCGTTTTCTATAAAGTACTCAAAGTAAAACTAACTGCTAATTTTTCAGTAGAAAGAATTGAAGCCAAAAGCACAAATTCAAAATACTCAAATAAAAATTTCTAAACTAAGAATTTTATACCCAACAAAACTATATTTCAAATGTGAAGATGAAATAAAGACAGAAACAGAGAATGTTTTCCTAGCATACTAGGCTCCCAGAAATTCTAAAGGAAGTTTTTCAGACTGAAAGAAAATGACCTCAGTTGGTAGTTCAAATCTACACCCCAAATCAAAGAACACCTATAAGGTAATTTTGCATAGTATTGTAAAAATTAATGAGATATTTTTTACACTTTTTTCTCTTAATGGTTTTAAAAGAAACTACAATAAACAATATGTATATACTGAATTGTTTGGCCTATAACTTATAGAAATATAATGTATTCAACAACAACACATAAAGAAGGTAGGTAGAAGCAAAGTTCTATTAGGGTAAGAAAATGGCAACAGATACTAACTAATCCACTCCTTTTAAAGTAGTTGAATGATATAAATTAACAATTACAATGATATGTTATTGTGTTTAAAACATGTATAGATGTAATGTGTATGATAATAATACCACAACAGTAGGAGAAAGAACAGAGCTATAAAATAGTAACATTCCTGTATCTCATGGGAATTAAGTTTGTATAAATGTGGACCTGATTCTAATCAACTAAGGCATATATGGTAAACTCTACAGCAACTTCTAAGGAAATAAGTCAAAAAATACTTGAAATCTTAGTGGAAACATTATTAAATATATTAAAATTCTACTTTAAAATGCTTAATTTAAAAGCAGTAAACAAATAATTGAAAACAAAAAAATCTCAAAATATATAGAGAACAAAAAGTAAATGGCAAACCTAATTCAACTCTTTCAATAATAACATTAAAAGTTAGTGAATTAAACAATACAATGTAAAGGCAGAGATTGCCAGACTGGATTTAAAAACATGATCCAATATATGCTGTCTATAAGAGGCACACTTTAAATTCAAAGACACAAATAGTTTGAAAGTTAAATGGGTAGGAAAAGCTATATCATGGAAACATAAAAAGTGTGAACACATATAAACACATAAAAGTTGGAGTAGATATATTAATAGCAGAAAAAAATGGACCTTAAAACTGAAAATGTTACTTGAAATCAAGGTAGACATTTTTGGTTTTATTTTGTTCCCAGGCAGGAGTGCAATGGCATGAACACGGCTCACCACAGCCTCAACCTCCTGGGCTTAAGCAATCCTCGAACCTCAGGCTCCTCAGTAGCTGGGACTACGAGTGCCACCAGGCCCAGCTATTTTTTTTTTTTTTATTTCTTGTAGAGATGGGATCTTGCCATGTTGCCCAGGCTGATCTTGAACTCTTGGACTCAAGCAATCTTCCTGCCTTGACCTCCCAAAGTGCGGGGATTACAGGCATGAGCCACCATGCTGGCCTGGACATTTTTTGATGATATAACGTTAATTTATCAGTAATATAGTAATTATAAACATATATACTCCTAGTAACAAATCATCAAAATGTATGAAATAAATAATGACAAAAATTAAGGAAAAAACAGATAATTCAATAAAAATATTCAGAGATATCAGTAACCTACTGTTCATAATGAATAGAAAAACTAAGAAAAAGTTGAACAAAATAATAGAACTCTCAACATAAAAAACTAGCTGTCAAACTTACATACATATATCCATACCTGTATTTATAAGTTACCCAGTCTTAAGTATTCTGTTATAGCAACATAAAATAGATTAACACAGAAAACTGGTACCAAGAAGTGCGATTGTTGCTGTATAGATAAGTTAAAATGTGAAAGTAGCTTTGGAACTGAGTAACGGGCAGAAGTTTAAAAAGTTTGAAGGAGCAGGCTAGATAAAGCCTAGATTCTGGGAAAGACAAAAGATAAGAAGATTAGGGAAAATTTGGACTCCTTAGAGTTTGGTTAAATGTCTGAAACCAAAATGTGAATAATAAAGGCCATTCTAATGATGTCTCAGATGAAAATGAGGAGTGTATTATTTGGAAATGAAGTAAAAGTCATTCTTGTTATACAATTGCAAAGAACTTGGCTGCACTGGATTCACATCCTAGCGCTTTATGGAATGAGGAGCTTAAAAATGATTAATTAGGAATTCTGGCAGGAAAAAAATATAAGCAAAATATAGAAGGATCTGCATGGATACTTGCATCTACTTCTACTGAGATTTGGGAAGACAGGAATAATTAGTTAGAATTTATAATAAAAAGGAAAGCAAAACAGATTTGGAAAACTCTCAGCCTGGCTATGTAGTAGAGAATGAAAGAGCATTTTCAGCAGAGGAATCCAAGCATGTGACCAAGTGACTGTTTGCTAAAGAGATTGATAGGGCTAGAAGGCAGCCAGAGGTTATTCGCAAGGACTCCAAAGGCATTTCAGAGATTTTCAAAGCTGCCCCTTTCCATCACAGTCTCAGAGGCCTATCAGGGAAGAACGATTTTGCAGGATGGTCCCAGAGTGCCTTCCAGAGTCTCACTGCCCAGGACTCCCTCATGACTATTCTCTGCACGCCAGTGGTGTGCTACTCAGTCATTCCAGCTGTGATTCCAGTTGCCCCACTTATGGCTCAACCTGCCTCTCCAAAAGGTGCAAGCAAGTAAACTTTGGAAACACTACATCATAGCTTAACTGGACCCAGATGCAGCTTATGCCACTGTTCCAGAGAGCTCAAGCAGTAAGACTTGGTGGTGTCCACATGGTACGAAATCTGCAAGTGTGCAGAATGAGAGAGCTAAGAATACATGGCAAAGATTTCAAAGGATGTATCAACCAGGGTGGAGCCCAGGAAGGGACTTGTTGCAGGATCAGAGCCCCACTAGAGCAATGCAGAGAAGAAATATGAGTTCAGAGCTGCTGCAGAGAGTCACAACCAAGGCAATGCCTAGCAGAGCCATGGGAGCAAGACTGCCACTGAGAATCTAGAACTGTACAGCTACTAGCATGCAACAGCTACAAGCAGCTACTAGCTAACTTATAAGAGCTTGCTGGACTAAGCCCAGCAAAGTCAAGTCACAGAGCTTGGACTGCCTAAGGCTTTTGGCATCTAACCCTTGAACCAGTATCTCCAAGGAGCAGAACATGGAGTCAAAGAAGAATATTCTGGATCCTTGAGATTTAATCTTCTCCATCCTGTTGGGTTTTAGACTTACTTAGGAGCTCTTACTCCTCTATTAGTTCCTATTTTTCCTTTTTGGAATGGAAACGTGTACCCATGCCTGTCCCACCATTGCATTTTGGAAGCAGGTAACTTGTTTTCATAGACTAGCAAATGAGAGTTTGGACTTTGAATTTTTGAGTTGGTGCTGAAATGACTTAATGACTTGTGGCTGTGTGGACAGAATGAATGTATTTGTATTAGAGAAGGATTTGAGTTTGGGAGGCCAGGCATGGAATGCTAACATTTGAATGTATATCCCTTCCAACAGTCATGTGGAAACTTAATCCCCATTGTAACAGTATTAAGAGTGTGGAAAATCCAGTTGTGGTATTTGAGAAGTGGAACCTTTGGGAGGTAATCATGACTAGGGGAGGTCATGAGGGTCGGTCATTAGGGGCTTTATAAAAGTGGATAGATCTGAGGTAGGGTGCTGAGTTCTATTTTCATGTGATGCCTTGCACTGCCTTGTAGTTCCTACAAGCAATAAGGCTCTGGCCAGATGTGGCCCGTAGAACTTGGACTTCTCAGCCTCCATAACTGTAAGAAAAAAATTTTCTTTATAATTTACCCAGTCTAAGGTATTTTGTTATAGCAACAAAAACAGATTAAGATAACAATCTTCAAAAATAAGATAAAATAAAATTGAAACATTCACATTATCTGACTCTAAAAATTATTTATAAGCTATAGTATTCAAAAAAGTATGGTCATACCATAAGAATCGACTTGTAGATTTTTGGAATAGAATTGAGATTCCAGACACAAAACCGTTTGTCTATGGTCAAGTAATTTTGGACAAAAAAATGAAGAAATATATTTAAGTTCTGTAGTCTTTTAAAATTAACATGAATTTTGTTTTGTTTTTAAAGAACAATTTACCAAATATAAAAGTTTTTGGGGCCAGGTGCAATGGCTCACATCTGTAAACCCTGCACTTTTGGAAGCAGAGGCAGGAGGATTCCTTGAGGGCAGGATTCCTTGAGGGCAGAAGACCAGCCTGGACCCTGTTTTTACAAAAAACTTAAAAAAATTATCCCCACATGGTGACATGCACCTGTACTCCCAGCTACTTGGGAGGCTGAGGTGGAAGAATCCTTTGAAGCTAGGAGTTTGAGGCTGCAGTGGGCTATAACGATATCACTGCACTCAGCCTGGGCAACAGAGCAATATCCTGTCTCAAAAAATAAAATAATAAAAAAGTAAAATAAAATAAATAAAAGTTGGTTTTCAGATAATACATGTAAAATTCTGGACATTGAGGTATTTTAGTTTTCCAACTCTCATTCTCTACTTTAATCAAATTAACTCACTCAAAATGCAACATCTTTCAGTGGAAGCTATTTTGTATGCAGTCTTGTCTTCTCTATCACCTAAACATGTTGCCTCTCAAGAAAGCTCTCAGTAAAGAATATTTGAACTAGAATCTATTGATTAATGAAATAAAAATTGATTTGAGATTCTCAAGGTTTTCTAAAGAGACCTAGGAAGAAATCAGGCATGTGATGTTAACAATGACAGTTTCTCAAAGCAGCATAGTAAGAGGGACCAGTTGCAAAAGAGGAGTAAAATGATAATTAAAGGAATAACATTCAGAAGCTAATGATGAAACAAGAGAAACATATACTACATAATATCAGGGCGGTGTGTGGAGAGAAAACACTTAAAACTTTTCAAAAGTATGTATGCATTAGGGCCAATAAAATTCCAAAATAGGCTACCAACAAGGTGGAAGGCAGTCTGCCAGCAGTACAGGCAACATAGCAAAAGGAAGTAATATTTATGTTAGAGACTATGGCTAATTCCAAAGCAAAAGAAGAAGAATGTGAGAAAAGACATGCATCAATTACAGCTCACAGAATTGGTTCTTAGCACAGCTGATGGAAGCAGGAAGAAAAATAATAATTTAAGTTTAGGTAACTCTAACAAAATGCTGAGTAAGAACACGGAAAGCATTTGAAAATTGTTACAAATGTCTTAAGTGCTATTTTAAAGAAATGAAGATATAATTATATAGTTCTTTAATTTCAAAGAGAAAAATTGAGAAAATAAAAGTGAAATTTCTGATTAAAAAATTGCAAAACAGCAAAGCTATCTAAAAAGCTATTTGCTCTGAGATGTTACAACTTTGAAATGAGCAAAATGATCATTAAAGATTAACAATTTAAAGAAACACATTTTTTTTCTAATGCAGCACTTATAACAAAAAAGTAAAAGCTTAATGGAAACTATATAGAAATAAATGTCAACACATATTTAGAAATGTTAAAGAAAAAACATTGAAAAATAAACTCAAGATTCAGCAAAACAGTTCATATTATTATTTAAAATTATCATCATTTTAACGAAGTGGCTTCTCATATTCAGGGTATAGCGTGTGCACAGGGCAGAGAGGGAAGAAGGTATTTGAGCACATGTGCACACAAGGACGTGTTGCGCAAATTCTGATGTATATTTTCAAGATAAGCATAATTATAATTAAGCTTAATTTCATGTATACATAAACAATATATATTTTAATTAACAAAATACAAGTGAGAGTATTCCTGCTTTTGCAAGTAAACCCAAAGCAAAACAAAACGGAAGCCATTCTATCATAATATCTGATAAATATTTATCGTATATTTTTCTATATTTATCTAGTATCTTTTATATGTTCCTTTCTTTGCTCTGCCTTTATGGAAGACTGGCATGTGTGTCACCAATATTAAACTATCCATTTGATTCCAAAGCTGAAAATAAAAGTCAACATATAGTTTTTAGGTTTTGTTGAGCTTAGTTTAGGTTTTGTTTAGTTTTTCACAAATTTAAAATGTGAAATACCAGTTGTACCTAACAAAAATCTCTTTAAGATGGAATTGAAAATTGTCTTTCTTTCTTATTTATTTATTTATTTATTTATTTATTTATTTATTTATTTATTTTTGAGATGGAGTCTGTCTCTGTCGCCCAGGCTGGAGTGCAGTGGTGCGATCTCGGCTCACTGCAACCTCCGCCTTCCGGGTTCAAGTGATTCTTCTGCCTCAGCCTCCCGAGTAGCTAGGATTACAGGCGTGAGCTACCACGCCTGGCTAATTTTAGTTTTTCAGTAGAGATGCCTGGCTAATTTTGTTTCTTTCAGAGGGTTTCTCCATGTTGGTCAGGCTGGTCTCCAACTCCCAACCTCAGGTGATCCACCCGCCTCGGCCTCCCAAAGTGCTGGGATTACAGGCGTGAGCCACCGCGCCCGGCCTGAAACTTTTCTATTTCTTCTCACAGATGTATGACGGATCATGAAAACAGACTTGGATTTTTACTCATGAAAAATGCTAATAATTAAAGATGCCTTTGTGAGTGCATTAAAATGCATTTTAACCAAGAAGGTATACAAAATTATGGTAAGTAAATATTTAGAAAACTCAGAATTTGAGTCATAGTATTTATTTTCTGCTCTTATTTTTTTTAGTATATCAAGTTCTAATCTGCAAAACACCTAGAAATGCCACACGAATGATTAAGCTGTTGCAATATTGCCATTTGATATAATTGCTATAATGGCTGCTGTAAAATTATTTTAGAAAAAAAAATTAGGCCGGGCACGGTGGCTCACGCTTGTAATCCCAGCATTTGGGAGGCTGAGGCAGGCGGATCACTCGAGGTCGGGAATTCGAGACCAGCCTGGCCAGCATGGTGAAACCCCGTCTTTACTAAAAATACAAAAATCAACCGGGTGTGGTGGCGGGAGCCTGTAGTCCCAGTTACTCCGGAGGCTGAGGCAGGAGAGTTGCTTGAACCCAGCAGGCAGAGGTTGCAGTGAGCCGAGATCACGCCACTGCACTCCTGCCTGGGCGACAGAGCAAGACTCCGTCACACACAAACACACACAGACACACACACACACACACACACACACACACAGAGAAAATTGTAAAAACACCTTTTGAAAATAGTTTGAAAGAATATTATGTCCTTTTTTAAACTTTATTAGATCTTCCAAGAAAAATATTTAATGTCATATAATGTAATTTAATGGAAATAGTTTGTTGTTGCCGTAAAATACCCATTTCTGGCAAGAAAATGGACTACTCACCAGAAAGCCCTCGAAACATTCTCCCTGTTTGCTAGAAGTTCTTCTACCTCAAATCCCCTCCACAGTGAAGATATTGTTGATTATACTTCCCCAACGTGGTTTAATTTAGGAGAAAATAGCAAGTGAAGAAGATGATAAAAACATGAAAAAATGCCTTTCCACATTTTCTTTTTTGTTGTTTTTTTTTTTTTTTTGAAACTACCACGCAGATATTACACACTCTCTATCAATTTTCTTAAATTGGAGGATATATGGCGTGGGGGAGAAATGTCCATCTTGTTAACATTAAGACACTCCTGACTGTCCTTTCTCTTCCACCACTGTCTTAAGCTGATTGAGTTGCTATAAAAAAGTACCATAAACTGGGTGGCTTTTAAACCGCAGAAATGCATTTCTCACAGTTCTGGAGGCTGATAAATCCAAGGTCAAATCACCAGTAGATTTGGCGTCTGGGAGGTCTCTCTTTCCGGTTCTAGACAGTGTCTTCTCACTGTGTCCTCACATGGTGGAAGGGACAAGTGAGCTCTCTGGGGTTTCATTTATAAGGACGTGAATCCCATTCATGAGAGATATAGCCTTATAACCTAATTATATCCCAAATGGCTTCCTAATACCAAAATCTTGAGGGTTAGGATTTCATATATGAATTGGGGGTGGGGGGCACAGAAATATTTACTTCATAGCAACCAACCACTATGATGCTGGGAGAAGGTTTAAAATAGAGAAAAAGAAATCCTGGGAGAGGGAACAAAAAAGAAAAAAATACCCAACTATGACTAGCATTTTGCAATTCGCCATATTAATTTGTCCTCCATGAAAACCCCTATAGCCACTCTGCTCAGCTTATTCCCTATTTCCAGTAGTCATTTCCCCAGAATCACAAGTTTCAGCTCATGCTCTGGGCCACTGACCCCCACCCAACTACACCAGTCCCACATTCTGTTTACAAGAAAACCAGCTCTCAGACATAAATATCATCAATACTTTGTAGTGTGGGTTTTGTGGCACCCAAAACACTTTACAATGCATTATTCTATTTTATTTTATTTTATTTTATTTTATTTTATTTTATTTTATTTTATTTTATTTTATTTTATTTTTAGATGGAGTCTCGCTCTGTCACTCAGGCTGGAGTGCAGTGTTGTGATCTCAGCTCACTACAATGCATTATTTTAAAATAAGATTGTTGGCCGGGTGCAGTGGCTCATACCTGTAATCCCAGCACTTTGGGAAGCCGAGGCAGGTGGATCCCTTGAGCTCAGTAATAAGGCTAGTATTTTGGCTTCCAAATGCTTATTATTTAACTTAGTTTTCAATTTGTTTACAATCCCAGCTGAGAAGGAACAGTGACAAATACTGAGTCTTTCAAAGACCCCCAAAATGGGTTCAGAATTAAGAAATGTTGAGAACCCAAAACAAAACAAAACAAAAATGACCATTTGCAGAGGGGAAATATATTAGGGAAAGAATTTGGTGGGACCAGGACCAGTGGCTTTGAGCTTTGTGCTCCAGGGTATTTTGATCTATACTGTGTATAGCAGCTTATGTTGGGACTAGCGTGTATTTACAGCGATGCTATTGGCTTTTATGTTCTGTGTGCTAGGCAAGAGGCTTTGGCATATAGTTTACCTTGGCAAATGACAGCTGCATGAGAGGATTAGCACTACCAAAGGCATGGGCCACATGGGCCTCAGCAAAAATCATGGGAGGCCTTTGCCAAATGTGGGGAACTTTAGGATAGAGGCTGCTGAGTCTTTAGCTTGAACTACATCTAGAATATATATGCTGGCATTCAGGGCAGATGCTGACAGATCACAAAGGCCTCAGTAAGCAGGAACAGTTGAGGCAAATATACAATTATAGGAAAAAGAGTGTCTTCACAGGCTATTAAGGCACTGGTTGGCAAAACAATCTCTACTAGTTTAAAACTGCAGCTGTGTTAGATTTGTGCTAGCTACACTGTGCAGGTTCTAACTTCGGATTATGAGTTACAGACTTAAGAATGTAGCTGAGTCTTCTAGAATAGAAAAATAAAATTAGATAATCAGAAAATACTAAAAAAAAAGAAAGCAAAACAAGAAACAAACTGTCAACCACTTATCACAGGGGTGCAGAAAATGTAGCAACAATGAAATGCTACTCAAAAGTTGTAACATTAAAGCAAAGGAAAGACTACGACTCATGCCTTGTTCTTATTAGGCCACTAGGGGCCAGAGACATCCACAGCAGTTTCAGCTACAGAGGATGTCTTTTTAACTGAGACCAAAGTTTTGGAGGGTAAACATTTTTTAGGAAAAGGTTTCTTAGGCCTTACGCAGTACATTGCAATTTGTGGAAATGATCCAGGAATGACAACGCCTGTTTGTATGAGAATGTGCACTCTACGTTGCCAGATTGAACCTGTACTCAAGTCATTATTGGAGTGCCAGAAACATGGGACTTAAAGAGCAATGGCAATTAATGTGGTAATCACAACTCCATGATTAATTGTTGGACAGGAATGAGTTTTCATTCAGGTGATTTTGGAGACATGGCAAAGAATGAATGATCTTTTGGTCCAGGGAGGCTAAATTCAATTTTTACTCCATCCTCTCTCCTTTACTATCTTAACACTGAAACTCCACTATGGTCTCTTATAGCATGAAGAAAGACTTCTGAGAACAAAATTTGGCTAGGGATAAACTGTTCTAGATGTGATGGACTGCTTCTAATCTACATTTGGGTAGCTTTGGTTTTGTACATAAAATATGATGTGTATGATTAACTCTTTGGACCCTCTAAAAGTGAGCCATATCATCTATGGCTAATACAACTCAAGAGGCTCTAAAGAACTGAACCCATTCCCATGACAGATAGTTCTGGTTGTAGTTACTAAAGAAACATGGCTCAGGCACTGAGAACCAACTGTTTGAGAATATACAAAATTTGTAGTTAGGGTGGGGAAATTTTACATTAATTTATTCAAAATAAAATATTGCAAGAGTAAAGATAATTTCAATATGAACTTCAATTTCTCTGGGTTTTAACATTTTAGGACTTTAATTTGCAAGGAGGTTTATTCTTTCTGACTTTAGTTCTCCCAAGTCACAATAGGAAGGAGATTATATTCAAATTTGGGACATCTCTTTGTTCCTAGAATTTTATTGAAATGTCTTTATATATTTTGTTCTTAAAGTACGTTGCCTTCAATTTCAAGGTAGGTCTGAAATGGGCTGTATTGGACTAAGTGAATTTACATTTGTAATGGAAAATGGAATAGGGAACAATTATTTAGCATTACTAAAATGAAAACTTGGATTTGGTACAATTAATATGTTTTGATTCATTTGTATCCTTCGGTGACTCCTGGAGGATAGCAAAAACGTGCAGTGGTTGGGATTGGGAACATGGCAGCATGAAGGTGGGAGCAGACGTGTCCAGAGTGATGGTCAGCCTTCTTGCCAGAGGAAAATAGCCAAAACTCTGCTTGACTGTAGATTTAACAATGAAGCCCACTTAAGTAAAGGAAAAACAACAATAAAACCAAACCAAACCAAAACTGTGGCATATCATGGTAACTATATTGGGAAGAGCACACTTTTCTTGTAAAGTTTTCTTTGTGTGAAGGAGCCTCAATTACTATGAAACTTTTGGCTTCTCTCTAGCTCGAGGGAGATGCGATGCCTGATTGGTAATTTTGGGAATAATATTTTTGACATAATTTGTTCCTTCTTCTCTTCCTCATCTCGGGAGGGAAATGCTCACAGGGAAAGAACATTCTCTTTTGTTAAGGGTTTTGTTTTTAGTGTCACAGAATTACACAGGTTGAGCACTACTTCTCCCCACCCCCTCCTCAACCCTCTCTTTAGAAGGGCTAATGCCGTGACAGAAAAGTGCATTTGATGGTGTTTATAACTATGAAGATTCAGGGTTCAATTAGCAGAACCCCTTGACGAACATAAAGGGTTCAACTTGTTATTTGTCAGGTAAATAGCTGATATTTTGGCCCCCAAACCTTATTCTTTGTATTATTTATCAAAATTTTCAGATCCTAGGTGGTATTTAAAAGTATTATTTAATAGTCCCATTTAAAGACAGAAACACAAATAAACATTTACAATACAAACCATTGTTAAGTTTAGGTTGCTGAAAATCAGCTATAATTCTACCGTTTCTCCTATATGTAAAGCCAGCAGAAAGGCAACTTTGGCTGCAGGCTGTTTCTTCCAAAACACATGGTAGCTGCGAGCAAAATTCACTCTCATTTAAATCAGTGTATCTCAGAATCTAGAGAACAATGTGATCAGTCTTTTGCAGAATTATGCAGACATGGAAAATAATACTTCACATTTAAATAGATACAAATAAACAGGATTTTAGATACTAAGTTACACTAACTATGATACTGTTTTTATTTATGTTGAAAAAGAAAAGTGACCATTTACCTCTATGGAAGAAGCACTGGTTAGAATTATGAAATCAGAATTTTTGGTTAAACATGTTATCTGTGAATTGTTCATATAATTTTTAAAACATAACGGCTCTGTAGTGTTATTAAATAAATGACGTTTCGGAAAGTCCAAAGAGTGTGAAAATTTTTGTTTTCTAAGTGATGCAAAATGGAATATGTGGTAAGGATAAAATCCCTCTAGGGTTTTTGGAATGTAGACCAGTAATGAAAGCATAGAACCTAGTTTATGAGTTAGAAGGATAATATGTACTATAGAAATAATAGGAGGGCAAGTGGGAAAATTAAAAATATAGAAGCTTTGTGTGCCTAAGGAAAGGCATTGACATTTTCAAATGATATTTGGTAATGCCATTTCTGTAAATATGTTTAAAGTACAGAAACTTTTTGCATGAAAAACCTGTGGAAATTCTCCTTGGGAAGTCTTGAGGGACAACAAAGAAAGCTTTCAAAAACAGTGCTGGTTTTCACTTTGTGGAGTGGATATCTCAGATATTCTAATGTATGCAGAGGTAAAGGATTTAGTGTTCCAGCAACTTCTATTCTAACTTTCTTATCTCATTCTCTTCCTTCACAAGGACTCATTTCGGGGATAGGAAGTGCACATCAGAGGGTGTGGATCTGACCATGGTGCTGATTTCTTTTTCAATAGGACTTCCATATTATCACCTCAGTGTAAAAAGAATAAAGCATATTTTGTAATAATGATAATTTTATATCTCTGTTTGCTTAGGTTTGCTAAAGGAGAATATAAGCAATCACAATATTCAAGATTTAAAGTAATGTTGATCTGGCATTTACTACCTTTACAACTTGATAAAATTATTTAAACTTTCTGAGTTCAGGTTATTTGTTTATAAATTGATATCGATAATAGATATATTTTATTGGATTGATGATTATATATGGTATTATGAAAGCATCTTACCTAGAAAAAAAATCACAATAAATGTTATATCTCTTTCTCCTCCACTATAATCATTTACTGAAGAACAAATGCCTAATTCATTATCAACATGTAGCAGTCTGGATGACTGCATTCCTATGATACTGGTTGCTGAGACAGTTGATCATATAAACTTGATTATATATGAGACATTTTTATACTGAATAGTTTTAAAAATTGTCTAAATATATTGGTGTAATCTGAATATGATCTTTCAATTTCTAGGTGGATGTCATATGATAGAGACATTTTTGGAGGTAGACAATTTACCATTTTTTGCCAAAACTATCCAGTGAATAAACAATACCCAGAAGGACTTCAACAATGTTGCTGTGGGAACACACACCATCTTTAGCATTTGGCTGTGCATCAGGAAACATTTTGTTCTATTATTCTCTTTCTATTTAAAATGTTCTGTGTCCTTAGACAAGTCATTAAAATCTTTATATGCCTTTTTTAATATATTCAATCATTTTATGCTATGAAGGTGGCTGGTTAAAATAGTCTGTATACATTCATTCAGTTCAAACAAAAAACAAAATAAAAAAATCACAAGAAAAATGTAAGCATAGATCTATAATTTCCTGGATCTCAAACTCTACCAGCTGAGTTTGATTCCAAAACTTTTCTTCTTTTCTCTAAACAAGGGGTCAGCTAGGAATTCCATCCATAAAATGTATTTGGTTTTTCATCAAGTTCTTCTGCTTTTGTCCTGAACTTGGGGTCTTTCTCTAAGCATTGTGCTCTCAAATTCTGTTTTCATGTTGCTCAAAATTCCTTTTTGGGACTTCAAATTTGCATTTCATTTTATCTGATCCTAGGTATCAGAATCCTGGTCTTCACTCTTGCTTATCAAACTCTATAGGCATAAAATATGTCATTCTGCCTTGCTGAACTAAATACTTTCTCTGAAAGCAATCTCATAAAATGTAGAGAGCTAGCAAGCTAACTCTATTTCATCCAAGTCTAAGGCTTTATCCAAATCCTAACAAATAACAAACTCTTTCCTGGAGTACCAGTAAGGTAATTTAAGATTGAAATTCTTATGACGTGTGTGTGTGTGTGTGCACGCACATGTGTTTGTTGTAAAAATTTAGGTAAAATAATTAAGAACACGTCTAATGTGACACGGAGTTTGCCTGGGTTGCTTTGATCTTAGAAGCCCAAACTAGAATTTAAAATGACCTTGATAAATTAGAGTAGTCATTCATCAAAAACAGTATGAAATTTAATAGGGACAAGTGCAAGGAGGCACACAGGGGAAACAACTAAGTATGCATGCAATAAGCGCAGGGGTGACTCTAAGCAATTCTTAAAAAAAAAATGTGAAAATTATAGGGGAGAAAAGCTGGAAATTAATCAGCATTTAACTGTTGTTAATTTTCAAGAACTGATATGACACTTAGATACACAGTATTATGATCTATCATAGAAAAGCAGAAAAGTAATCTTTTGGCTCAGTAAAATCTGAGGATAATCCTCTTCTACATTTTGCCAGTAGTGAGAACTTTATTACAGCAGTATGTTTATTCGTTCCATAACTATTTTTTGAGACACTACGTGTCCTGTGTAAAGTGTTAAAAATTGTCATTTGCTACATCCTTCTAACTATCATGGGTAACAAAATAACATTTGTATCACTATAAATGTCCCTTGTATTACATTTTCTAATTTTATTGTATTCTGTCTTGGGACATTTGTTACATTTTGTCTGTGCAGCATCTTCTCTTTTAGAATTTTGTCCTCCCTTCTGGCGAGATAATTTAATGAAATATCTATACTTCACTGTCTGCCACTGGCCAATCCACCAAAGTGAGTCATTGAAGGATGAGCACATAATAAAAAGTGAACTGTTTCTAAGTCATTCAAGGATCCTGTCAGAGTTATAAAGAAATAGCTCTTTTCTTCACTCTGGAACCTGTAAACATAAGTATAGGGTAAGCCAGAAATCTGTTGACCCTCTTTGTTTGTCTGTGTGGAGAGCTTGATTAGTCCTCAATGAATCCAAAAGAAATTAGAGTTCATATTTGGATGAAATGAAACACAATTCTAATTATATCACTGAGTCATTAGAATCAAAGTGGACTTTTTACACCTCATTTGGACTTTAAAGTTAAATGAACTAATAGATTTTTTTCTTCTTCTTAAGCTAATTTGATTTGGATTTGTGACACTTGCAACCAAAGAGTTTAGACTAATATATACATATGTATTTGTTTATATTAATAGACTGTACTGTAAGGTAATACTTGGAGTAAGGAGGTTCTCTTCTCCCCAACTCCTATGCCAAGATGATGATTTTAATATCAGTGTTACCAGAAAGAGGCAAATATATAGCAAAATAAACAAACTGCATTAGGTAGCACATTGACATACTTGAGAGGTAAATCTTATTTCCTCCAAATTGTAATGTCTGAAATTTAGAGCTAGGGTCATGAAAATACCATGGTAGTGATGATGAAGGCTAATATGATGCATATCAGATGAAAGGGGTGATGTTTAATTTTGTGTGTCAATATGACTGGGCCACAGGGTACCCAATATTTGGTTATATTTCTTTGTAAGTATGTTTATGAATGAGGTTAACATTTGAATCAATAGACTGTATAACAGATTTCCTACTCCAATGCATCTGGGCCTCATCCAACCCACTGAATGTTTGAATAGAATATAAGGCTGAGTAAGAAAGAATCCTCTCTCTCTCTGCCTATTTTCAAGTTGGGGCATCAGTCATCTCCTGCCTTTGGACTTGGATGCAGACAATGCATTAGTTAGCATTCTCTAGAAAAACAGAACCAATAGTAATTTTATTCTGGAAATTGGCTCATGTAAATATGGAGGCTGAGAAGTCCCGCCATCTTTCATCTGCAAAGTAGAGAACAAAGAACGCTGGTGGTCTAATTCAGTGAGTCTGAAGACCTGAGAACCAGTGGTGATGTGGGGGAAGGAGGAGTAGAACCTGGTGTCAGTCCCAGAATTCAAAGGCATAAGAACCAGGGGCTCTGATGTGTGAGGGCAAGAGAAAATGGGTGTCCCAGCTTAGGGAGAGGGAGAGGGAATTTTTTCTTTCTCCACCTTTCTCCATTATTTTATTCTACTAGAGCCCTCAACAAATTGGAGGATGCCAACTCACACCGGTGAGGGTAAATCTTCTTTACTTAGTCTACTGATTCAAATGGTAATCGCTTCCAGAAACACCCTCACAGATACATCCAGAAATCATATCTTATCAGCTATATGGACATCTGTAAGCACAGTCTGGTTGACATATAAAATAAACCATCACAGACTAAAGTTATATCATCAGTTTTCCTGGGTCTTCAGCTCTCTGACAGTAAATCTTGGGACTTCTCAGCCTCCATAACCCTGTGAACCAACTCCTTATAATTCCTTATCATAAATATCATTATGATATCCTTATGCAGAAGAATGAAACCAGACACTTATCTCTCACCATATACAAAAGCCAAATCAAAATGAATTATAGACTCAAATCTAAGACCTCAAATTATGAAACCACTACAAGAAAACATTGGAGAAAATCTCCAGAACAGGCGGAGGTTGCAGTGAGCCGAGACTGGGTCACTGCACTCCAGCCTGGGTGACAGAGCGATACTCAGTCTCAAAAAAGAAAAGAAAAGAAAAGAGAAGGAAAAAGAAAGAAAGAAAGAAAGAAAGAAAGAAAGAAAGAAAGAAAGAAAGAAAGAAAGAAAGAAGGAAGGAAGGAAGGAAAGAAAGAAAGAAAGAAAGAAAGAAAGAAAGAAAGAAAGAGAGGAAAGGAAGAAAGAAAGAGAGACAAGAAAGAAAGAAAGAGAAAAGAAAGAAGGAAGGAAGGAAAGAAAGAAAGAAAGAAAGAAAGAAAGAAAGAAAGAAAGAAAGAAAGGAAAGGAAGAAAGAAAGGAAAGGAAGAAAGAAAGAAAGAAAGAAAGAGAAAAGAAAAGAAAAGACTCTCCAGAACATTGCATTGGTCTGGGCAATAATTTCTTGAGTAATATCCCAAAAGCACAGGAAACCAAAGCAAAAATGGACAAATGAGATCACATCAAGTTAAAAAGCTTCTGCACAGCAAAGGAAACAATCAATAAAATAAAAAAACCACCCACAGATTGGGAGGGATTTATAACCAGAAAGTATAAAGAGCTCAAACAACTCTACATGAAAAAGAAAATCATAATCTGATAAAAAAAAAAAAAACCCATGGGCAAAATATTTCAATACACATTTCTCAAAAGAAAACATACAGATGGCAAACAGGCATATGAAAAGGTGCTCAACATCATTGATTATCAGGGAAATGCAAATCAAAACTACAATGAATATCAACTCACAGGAATTAAAATAGCTTATGTCCAAAAGGCAGGTAATCGCAAATGCTGGTGAGGATGGGGAGAAAAGGGAACCATTCTATGCTGTTGATGGAAATGCAAATTTGTGCAAACACTATGGAGAACAGTTTGGAGGTTCCTCAACAAACTAAAAATAGAGGTATCATAAGATCCCACAATGTCACTGCTGGGTATATACCCAAAAGAAAGGAAATCAGTATATTTAAGAGATATCTGCACTTCTTTGTTTGTTACAGCACTGTTCACAATCGCCAAAATTTCAAAATTTTGGATAAAGAAATGGATAAAGGAAAAGTGGTACATATATACAATGGAGTACTATTCAGCTGTGAAAAAGAATGAGATCCTGTTATTTGCAACGACATGGATGGAACTGGAGATCATTACATTAAGTGAAATAAGCCAAGCATAGAAAGATAAACATCACGTTATCAGTTATTTGTGGGATATAAGATCATAACAATTGAACTCATGGTCGCAGAGAGTGGAAGAATGTTTACCAGGGACTGGGAATTGTAATAGGGGAATTGGAGAAAGGTGGGGATGGTTAACGGGTGTAAAAAAAAAAATAGGGCCGGGCGCGGTGGCTCACGCCTGTAATCCTAGCACTTTGGGAGGCCAAGGCGGGCGGATCACGAGGTCAGGAGATCCAGACCATCCTGGCTAACACGGTGAAACCACGTCTCTAATAAAAATACAAAAAATTAGCCTGGCGCTGTGGCGGGTGCCTGTAGTCCCAGCTACTCAGGAGGCTGAGGCAGGAGAATGGCGGGAACCCGGGAGGCGGAGCTTGCAGTGAGCCCAGATGACACCACTGCACTCCAGCTTGGGCGACAGAGTGAGACTCCATCTCAAAAAAACAAAAAAAGTTAGAATAAATAAGACCTACCATTAGATAACATAATAGGGTCACTCTAGTCACTAATAATTTAATTGTAGATTTTAAAATAAGTTATTATAAAGTATAGTTGGATTGTTTGTAACACAATGGATAAATGCTTGAGGGGATGGATACCTCATTCTGCAAGATGTGATTATTATGCATTGCATGCCTGTGTCAAAACATCTTATGTACTCCATAAATATATACACCTACTATGTACTCACAAAAAATAAAAATTAAAAAACAATCCAGGCACAATGGCTCATGCATATAAACCCAGCACTTTGGGAGGCTGAGACAGGCAGATCTCTTGAGCCTAGTAATTCGAGATCAGCCTGGGCAACACGGCAAAATCCTGTCTCTGCAAAAAACACAAAAATAAACCAGACATGGTGGCGTACGCTTGTAGTCCCAGCTACTCGGGAGGCTGAGGTGAAAAGATCACCTGAGCCCAGGGAGGTCAAGGCTGCAGTGAGTCAAGATCCAGCCACACTGCACTCCAGCTTGGGTGACAGAGCAAGGCCCTGTCTCAATATAATAATGATACAAATAAATAAATAAACATCATTATGGTATAGATGCCACATACACACACACACATATACAGACTTCTGAATAGCTCAGTTTCTCTGGAGAACTCAGACAAAAACAGATTTTGATATAGTAGACAGTGCTATCCAGTAGAACTTTCTGTGATAATGAAAATGTTCTTATCTGTGCTGTTCAATACAGCAGTCACTAGCCACATGTGGCTATTGGGTGCTTAAAATTTAACTAGTATGACAAAAGTGCATAATTTAAATTTAATTGCATTTTAATTATTTTAAATCAAAATTTAAATAGCCATTCATGCTTAGTACCTACCTGGTGGACAGCACAGCTCTAGAGAAAAAGCCATATTTTTTAAGCCATACTATTTTGTAACTTGTATGTTACCTTCCAGATCCATTTCCTGCTATTCTCTTCTGTTCTTTTAGTAATTGTTAGTTTGCTACTTCAAGATGCTTTATTGCTTTTATTTTTTCTTTTTATTGTATCAAGGTACAAATCAGATGTTCCTTAGAGATGTGTATAAAATTGGCTATTTACAATAGTGAGATTTTAAGGTAGTTTAATTTAGCTTGGGTTTATAAAAAATCAGTAAAATCCTAATGTTCTTCACAATTCCTTTATTTCAGCTATGTGAATTACCAAGATAGCTCCTGTTATTTAGTCAATCTGGGTCAAGAAACAGGGTCCTTAGTTGGTTTCAGTATTTTTAGTCTGCCCTTCTCATTCCATAGAAGTACTCGTAATATTCCTAACAGAAATTGTATTAAATGGTAATGCAAATACAAAGAATCTTCTGCTCTAAGGAAACACAAAGATTCACACTAAAAAACAGTCACTGACACTTAAAAAATGCACACTTTAATAAATGACTATAGGTTTTCTTATTTATTTATTCCAAACTGCTTGTGGCTGAAAAAGTCAGGAACAGTTAAGAAATGGTGAACAATCTGCTGGGCGCAGTGGCTCATGCCTATAATCCCAGCACTTTGGGAGGCCAAGGCAGGTGGATCACTAGAGGTCAAAATTTCAATCCATCCTGGGCAACATGGTGAAACCTTGTATCTACTAAAAATGCAAAACTCAGCCAGGCGTGCTGGCACACACCTGTAATCCCAGCTACTAGGGAGGCTGAGGCACGAGAGTCACTTGACCCCGGGAGGCAGAGGTTGCGGTGAGCCGAGATTGCGCCATTGACTCTGGCCTGGGGGACAGAGACAGTGTCCCCACCCCCCACCCCCACCCCCAAAAAAAGGTCAACAATTATTATGAATGGGGAGTGGAATTTTATTTATTTCTCCACAGCTTATATTTGTAACAGCCCATATGGACTTCTTTTGTAAATGAAAATAGAAATAATTTTTTAAGTGCAGAATCTTTTAGTTCGAGCCATTCCACTTAAGAATACTTAGAATTACTTACATAGGGAAATACTGCCCTTAAAACAGACACAGAGGAAAGATAAAGGAATCTATATTTTTACAGGATAAACCAGACACCCATTCCTTTAGCAAACACATATTGAGTGATTACTATGTTTATTTTTAGCTGCCAAAAATTTGATCAACAAGCCAAAGTCCCTGCATTCTTCTTGCCACTTACATTTTAGTTGGGGAGAAAAACAAACACACATGTAAATAAATGATTTAAATTATATAAGTTCAAGTTTACAAATGATACGAAGAAAAATAAAATTAGAAGCATGAAGAGTGACCAGAGGAGGTAGGGGTGAAGAGGAAAAGGGTTATCAGCAATGCCTCACTGAGAATGTCACATTTGGACAGACTCTTTGGTAATGTAAGGAAATGACAAATATGATGATCTCCAATAGGAGTGTTGCAGGGAAAAAAAAACTCCACATGCAAAAAATTATATGTCAGGAATAAAATTGGCTTGAATAGCTATAGAGTCATTGTTGTGAAAGTTTTTTTTGTTGTTGTTTACTTGGTTTTTTTTAATGAAGTCAATTTTCAGTATGATTATGTTCAAAAGTAGACAGTGATCTTCAGGTTGTTTCCGTTTATAGATGATTATTTGCAAAACTTCCATTTTACGTATTACCTGCTGTTAAACTCAAGGATCATATGATCATCTATGAATTAGGGTTAATATGTGCTTGTCCTGAGGAAAATGTAGAGAAAGGAATTATCCTTCTTGATGAGTTTAAGAAAGTACATGATGGCCACATATCTTAGATCATTTACATTCAATCATTGTATAAATAGAATTTACACTACATAAGATCATTAGGTCATTTGCACTCTATACGTTGTGATTGCATATTTTAAAACGAGAGAAGGTGAAGATGTTGATCATATTGCTACTTGATGTAGCTATATAAAAAGGAAGGAAGAGATCATTTTGAGGTTATACATTTCTGAAAATTTGTGAATTTATTTTCATTACTTTTATATACTTTCATCAACATAACATGAAATTCTAATAATAAGACATGTGGAGTGGGGTGAGGTAAAATAATAGGTTATATTTTGAAGAGGGACACTGAGTGTTTTATAAACAGTAGCAAAATTGTAAGTTAAAAAACTATCTAAAGCAGTAAATATTGCCATAAATATATACAAAAAATACATATACCAACCATACAAACCATTTTGTATATATATACAAAAATACATATACCAACCATATACACACATCATATATATTAATACTACTTATATTGTGGTGTATATACTATATACTATGCCTATAAATTCTTAACATTTCTGCAACACAGGCAGATTATCTCATACTTAAAATGCTAGCAAGCAAGGAGAATGACAATCAATGTTTCCAGTACTCAATAAGCTAATTTTCTTCCACAATGGTGTACATTTTCACCAGGCCATGAAATCTGTTTTTCTAGGTCAATTTACTACAAGGGTCAATTTGCTATGAGAGTCAATTTAGCATGAATTTTTAGATTTTCAGTTCTGGGAATGACTGTATATTTTAAAAAAATTAGATATTTCCCCTAAATTTAGCATTTTAAAAGAGAAATATAAATGTTCTGGTGAACCATGTGAAATCACAGGAAATTTATCCATAGTGATAAAAGTGACATTTGTTTTCCCATTTTCATTTCAATATTTTTAGCATAATTAAAACCGTAGACAGTTTACTTGGCTCCCAAAAGTGTAAAAGAGCATAATCATCACAGTCAGAATAAATTTCAATACTTTCAACTGTGGTAGAAACAGTCATAAAATATAAGCTAACTGTAGTCTCTTCTGTGATAACTACCTTAAAAAAAAACCTATCTTTGGTACTACTGAGAGAGGAGGAGGAGGTTGCCATCTTATTCTGTGATAGTATAAAGAAAGAGGACCAATATGTTCAAGGCAGAACAAAATATAAACTATCTTTTATATAATACATTAATTACTAATGAATTACTTGCTTGTAAGGCATTAATTTCTCTTCGTTTTATATTGGATTTCAAAACACTTAATTAAATATTTAAAAATATTTTTGCCATGAAGTGAAAGAGAATACGGGGCTTAATTATAAAGAAAGTAAAGAAAATTTTGCAAACAGGTTTAATATTTCAAACTATTGCATATAGGGATGCGTGGATAGATGCCATCTTTTGGCAATTTATGAAACTAATTAATTGATGATTCCTATGGGGTCAGTTAATTTATACATTTACTGCCACATTGATGATATATGTAGACAATATAACCTTAAACCTATGAAATGAAGATACTGGAAGATATTTAATTGTATTCACAGAACAGCTGTAAGTTTTAGAAATGTATTTATTCGTACAAGTCTATATAACATTTTGACAATGTCACATTTTTCTAAAATATTCAAATATCTCACAACATTGAGTACTGGCAATTTTTAAATTAATTGTGTAATAGTATCTAAGAATAGACTACTTGAAAAATAGAGTATTATCTGTTCTTTGTACATGAATCTGACATTATTTATCCAAATGACCAGAGTTTATGTTTTCAGTATTTTTCTCCCATAAATGCAATCAGTGCACATTTCACTTCTAGTCCCCTGGGTGTATGGGCTAAAGAGAGCCCTTAATCACAAGAAAGTTCATGACTCTCACTTAATCAAACTTTCAACTTAAAAAAAACTAATTAAATTAATCATTTTGTTTCATAGTTTACCAATGGAGTTACTTTTGTCATGAGTTTCTGAAAGCAGTAATTTACCAAAAATCCCCTAGGCTTTTTAGGCTCTTCCGTTTCAGAGATTGCCCACTGAAATTATCCCTGGGGGTGAGTATGTGGCAAAATAGTGTTAAAGACCAGTGCTTCTCAAACTTTGTGTGCGTACAAATCACTACAAATCTTGGTATAATGAAGATTCTGACTCCGCAGGTATGGGGCAGGGCTGAGATTCTGCTGTCCTGATAAATTCTTAGGTGTTGCTGGTGCTGCTGGTCTGAGAACCACATATTTAGTAGTAACGCTATAGATTATATGAGGGTACAAATCCAAATTGCTGTCATGGTTATCAACAAGACTCAGAAGAAGACTCTTTTTCAGAGTATTGGTTACAAATGCCTATATATTCATGCTCAAATGGGGTATTTTCTTCAATATAATAATCTTAAAGTTTTTTTTTCTATTGCTCAATGTAGCTTTATAAGTAATTAAGTCCAGCTCCTTCATATTATAGTTGAGGCCACTGAGGGTCAAGGAAGTTGAATATATGCCCAAGGTCATACAGCTAGAAGCAGCATGTGCATTAGAACCCAGAAACTCCGACTACCATTTCAATAAACAAATCCTAACTTCTTTGGCATTTCCATTTGTTATATTCTCCCTGACACAAAACCTAAGCGTGAGTC
Organism: Homo sapiens; assembly: GCF_000001405.40. Lineage (NCBI taxonomy): Eukaryota > Metazoa > Chordata > Mammalia > Primates > Hominidae > Homo > Homo sapiens. The sequence goes on from NW_018654711.1 coordinate 172,571, forward strand.
AATAATGATTAGAATTTCACCTTTTGATCCTCACAATAGGTTAAATGATAGCAGTATCTGTGGACTCACTGACTGACTTTCCTAACAGCTAAAACTCACAGTAGGCAACTATCTCCTACAATAACACAGGTATTCACACATCTTTCTTCAAGAATGTGCTTGCAGTTTTATTATGGACATTTTGTTCCTTAATTTTGAGAACCTGGGGAGAAAGGTGGGCAGAGAAATGAATGGGTCATTAGTTAAAAGGCAAGGGTTGAATTTGCAAAAGGTTGTGGCAAAGTAAGCAACAAATGGGAAAGAGTGAAGGGCATCAATATTGATCTTGCCTCTCATCTTTCCCTCTGTCTTCTTGCTTGCAGGTTTCTATTGTGTAGTCTCTCAAACAAAGCCGACTTTATTTATGGTGTGACTGATTTAACACTACTGAACCAGTCCATCATCTGCCAATTTGGTCCAATTAAAAACTGGTCATAGGGAAAACCTGGGAATTAAGCTCATTTAGAAACACAACTTCTGATTCATTTATGTCTTGCTCATTTATGTCTCCTCTTCTAAAGGACACATTTCAGGGTGTTGATTTATAGAGGTGGCTCTTTCCAGCTTCCTGAGTTTCTGTGACTCCTTTTGGTTAGGTCCATTAAAAAAGTGCACTTCTGCCTCTCTCCCCTCGTAAGGCTATTGTTAAAACATTTTAAAGAGGCTTGCCTAAGATTTCCTGCTATCCAGAATTAGAAAAATCCCAATAAACAGCTAGAGTCACCATTTTTAAAGTATGTACGCATTGCATGGACTTACGCTAACATGATTGCTTTCTCACTTAATCCTTACAACTCTTTAAGTACTATTATCCTGGTTTTGCAGTTGAGGAGGCTTTAGACTTAAACGTTCAAGTAAATCATCAAATATTATAAAACATGAAGCGACAGCTATGCTATTTGAACCAAAGGCTGCCTGATGCCAGTGCCAGCACTGCTACTCACCAAGCTCTACTGAGATTTATACCTAGACTAAGTAAAACCTCTGAACAACAACAACAACAAAATTATTTCCTCCACTTGTTTTTCCTTTTTTGCACAAGTTCTTGTAGGCAGGTAGGTGTTCCACTCCCTATACTTAGCCTCTCCCACGCCCTCTGCAATCTTTCCCTTTTGCTGCTGGAATCGTCAGAGATTGCTACTGCAGCTGGTGAGTGGGCAGGTGCAGCCACCATCTGCTCTAGGAGTCCAAATGCGCAGAAGAACCTCGCACCCAGGACCTGGCCCAGGCACCACGAATTCCAGAACATGCTGGGGACACGGCTAACCCCGCCCCCTCGCGGTGGCGATTGGCTGAACCCTTCCTGAGTGCAAAGCGCTGATTAATGAAGGCAGTTGTCTCGCCTGCAAGTTCGGGCGAGACATCTCTAAAGAGGTAAGATCCGCCAGGGGTGCTGAATGGGGGCTTCAGTTCTTCCTGCCCGAAGGGTCCTTGAGAAGCCTGTTTGTTTTTCCCGGCGCTTGTCTCCACCCATCCCCTTCTCTCATTGGCCAGACCTGGTGGGCGGGGGAGTTTCCATTGGCCGGGGGGCGGTGTCTGTCCCTGGCCGGGGTGGGGGCGGGGCCTCCGCCGCTCTGAGCTTGCCCTTGTGTCTGGTGCTTCGTAGAGCTGCCGCCGTCGCCGCTGCCGCTGCCGCCACAGCCGCCGCTGCAGCCGGAGCATCCGGGAGCCGCCACTGCCGCCGCCGCTGCCGCTGCTACCGCCACTAGCGCTGCTTCCACTGCTTCTACCTCCCCTCCCAGGACCCCGAGACACCCCGGGCGCGAGCGGCAGTGCTGCTTGCTTGCTCCTCCTCTCCCCCAGCCCTTCCCCTCCGTGACCTACCCACTCCTTGCAGCCCTCGCCCGCACCTTCTCCAACACCCCGGCATCCCTGCACCACCTGCTCGGGCAGCCCCGGCGGGCTCTGGGACTTGCTGTGCGCGCCGAGAGGAAGGCAAGCTCCAAACCCCTGCCTGGAAGACGGGCTGTCGCGGCTGCACCACCAGCAGGAGGAGGAGGAGAAGAAACTATTTCGCGATACCCCATTCTGCGGGTGCTTTGCCGCTGCCGCTTCTGCTGCCGCCGATCCGAGTCCGCGGGTTCGAACACCGCAGCGGTGGGGACGGTGGGTCCGGCGGGCGCCGGGAGGAGGACACCAGCGGAGCCCTGCACTCTCGTGCCCCGCTCACCAGCATCTACTTGCCCCCTCGTTCCTTCCCCAGCCCTTTAGAGAAGGGACCATGATTTGGAAACGCAGCGCCGTTCTCCGCTTCTACAGTGTCTGCGGGCTCCTGCTACAAGGTAATCCCCGCCCCGGCGCAGGGAACATCAACTTCTCGCCCATTCCCCATCTTCCCCATTCCACCCCATATTTCCACTCTCCCCTCCCAGTCTCCCTGTCCCCAGCGATTTCCACCCCCTCCCCCTACTCTCTGGTGCGGCAGGGGGCAGTGGCAGTTTGCACCAGCCCCTCGAATTTCTAACACTGGCTCAGCCCTGCCTTCCCAGCAGTCAGCCCCTTACGCGGCACCTTTTGCCTTCTCATTCACCTGAGCTTCCTTCATCTCACTCCATTCCCGCCAGCATCCCCCTCCCACGCCTTTTGGCTGGCAACTTGTGCCTCTCTGAACATTCCACCCTCCCGACAACCCCCACCAGCCACCTCCCACATCACGCTCTTGAGCGACCCTCTCCATCTCTTGTCATCTCTTTAACCTCCCCCTTTTCAGGTCGCCTTTTCTTTTCCCCCTCTTCCCACCATCATCATATCCGTGTGTCTTTAAAAAGTGTGTGAGAGCCTGGGAGCGAGCTACCAAGACGGGCGAGAACAGCAGCAGCGACAGCACCGTGTGCATTGCAATAACATCCCCGGGGGGGAAATGTGTTCTGAGACGTGTCATTTACCTAGGAAGAGAGAGGGGACTCTGTCTGGGATTTAAAAAAAAAGAAAAGAAAAGAAAAAGAAAGGAAAAAGAATAAGAAAAAAGAAAAAATGAGTGAATGAATGAATAAATAAACCAAGAATTTAAGAAAGGGGAGAAAAGGCAAAAAAATTAAAAGACCCAAACCCACTTTATCAACACATTGACTTTTTATTATTCAGTCTGTGTCGTTTCTTTTTTTTTTTAACCAAAGAAATATATGCTCCCTAGCAGTTACTTTACTGCTAAGATATTTTCACTTAGATTTCCTACCTCTCCATCCTCTCTCTGCCGCTTCTTTCCGTAATTAATATTATCCTTTCACGTGAAATGTAAGA